>NC_000022.11:38406533-38558048 GCF_000001405.40 Homo sapiens
AGAGATAGGGTTTCACCATGTTGGTCAGGCTGGTCTCCAACTCCTGATCTCAGGTGATCCACCCGCCTCAGCCTCTCAAAGTGCTGGGATTATAGGTGTGAGCCACCATGCCCAGCTGTATTTCTCTTTTTTCTTACTATTAGCCACATATATGTTCCTTAAGTAATAAGTGTAAGATGAGAATTGCTCAATTATTGTGTGTGCAACATGTTCAACTTTATTAGGCAAGGCTAAACTATTTTTGCAGGAGATTGAACCAGTTCATACTCCCGCCCAAAGCAGATGAGAGTCCTCACTGATTCATTTCCTTGCCAAATCTGAAACCGTTCAATTTCATAATATCTGCCAAGCCAGTGAGAGTAAAATCCCAACCCACTGCGGCTTTAATTTACATTTCCCTTATTACTAATGATATTGAATATCTGTCTTGTTTATATCTTCTTTTTTTTTTTTTCTTTGATGGAGTTTCGCTCTTGTTGCCCAGGCTGGAGTGCAATGGCATGATCTCAGCTCACCACAACCTCCGCCTCCCGGGTTCAAACTATTCTCCTACCTCAGCCTCCCAGGTAGCTGGGATTATAGGCATGCACTACCATGCCGGTTAATTTTGTATTTTTAGTAGAGACAGGGTTTCTCCATGTTGGCCAGGCTGGTCTTGAACTCCCCACCTCAGGTGATCCGCATGCCTCAGCCTCCCAAAGTGTTAGGATTACAGGCGTGAGTCACCACACCTGGCCCCTGTTTATATTTTCTATATCCTTAGTGATTCTTTCATCTTTTTGATGTGTCAGTCACTGAATGTTTGTCATAAAATCTCTAATTATATTGGCACCAGCATTATCGAAAGAAAGGAAAAAAAACTCTGTTTAGAATAATGGATTTGTTAGCTTCTCCTTGATTTGCTTTATATAGTTTGAGGTTGTGTTATCAGGTGTATAAGAGTTCAGAATTGTTTTTATCTTCCTGGAGTTATATACTCCTTCTTTGTTTCTAATAATACTTTTGCCTTGAAGCCTAGTTTGTCTGTTATTAATACAATGAAAAATCTTTTGGTTTTAATCTTTTTTTTTTTTTGAGATGGAGTTTCGCTCTTGTTGCCTGGGCTGGAGTGCAGTGGCGCGATCTCAGCTCACCGCAACCTCTGCCTCCCGGGTTCAAGCGATTCTCCTGCCTCAGCCTCCCAAGTAGCTGAGATTACAGGCATGCGCCACCACACCCAGCTAATTTTGTATTTTTTTAGTAGAGACGGGGCTTCTCTGTGTTGGTCAGGCTGGTCTCAAACTCCTGACCTCAGGTGATCTGCCTGCCTCAGCCTCCCAAAGTGCTGGGATTACAGGCGTGAGCCACTGCGCCCGGCCCTCACCTCGGCCTTTCAAAGGGCTGGGATTACAAACGTGAGCCACCGTGCCTGGCCTCAATGTCTCTTAAATCTCATTCAATCTATAGGTTCCTACTCTATCTCTTCTATTTTCCTTGCAATTTGTTAGTTGGGGAAACCAGGTCATTTGTCCTTCATATAAAATATTTTGTTTAATGAAATTATATAGATAATGATCTTTAGAAATACATCTTGGATATAACAAGTGTTGGAGAGGACGTGAAGAAAAGGGAATCCTTGCATATGGTTGGTGGGAATGTAAATTAGTATAGCCATTATGGAAAACAGTATGGAGGTTCCTCAAAAACAAAATAAAAATAGAACTACCATATGATCCAGCAATCCCACTACTGGGTGTGTATCCAAAGGAAATGAAATCAGTATGTCAAAAAGACATCTGCACCCCATGCTCATTGCAGTTTTATTCACAATAGCCAAGCTGTGGAAACAACTGAAAATGTCCATCGGTGGATGAATGGATCAAGGAAATGTGGTATATATACACCATGGAATACTATTCAGCCTAAAAAAAGAGACAGTCCTGTCACTGTCAGCACCGTGAACGAACCTAGAGGACATTATGTTAAGCGCAATAACACAGGCACAGAAAGACAAGTACGCGTGATTTCACTTAAACTATGGAATCTAAACAAGTTGAACTCAGCCGGGCACAGTGGCTCTCACCTGTAATCCCAGCACTTTGGGAGGCCGAGGCAGGCAGATCACCTGAGGTCAGGAGTTTGAGACCAGCCTGACCAACATGGAGAAACCCTGTCTCTACCAAAAATACAAAAAATTAGCTGGGTGTGGTGGTGCACGCCTGTAATCCCAGCTACTCAGGAGGCTGAGGCGGGAGAATCACTTGAACCCGGGAGGCAGAGGTTGCAGTGAGCCGAGATGGCGCCATTGCACTCCAGCCTGGGTAACAAGAGCGAAACTCCGTCTCAAAAAAAAAAGTTGGACTCACAGAAGCAGAGAGGAGAACGGTGGTTGTGCTGAGGCTGGCAGAGGGAGTGGGGGTGTTGGGAGATGTTGGTCAAAGGATACAAAATTTCAGTTAGATGGGAGGAATAAGTACAAGAGATCCATTGTACATGGTGACCACAGTTAATAACAATGTATTGTATTCTTGAAAATTGCTGAGAGTACATTTTAAGTGTTCTCACCATAAAACAATAAGTATGTGGTGACACCTACATTACTTAGCTTGATTTAGCCATTCCACAGTGCATACATAATTCAAAACAACATGTTGTGTACAATAACTACAATTTTTATGTTAATTTTTAAAATAAAAAATTTTAATGATTTTAAAAATAAGTATATAAAATATATTTTATTTTATTATTATACTATATGTTAATTTCCTTGTGTATATATAGCTCTCAAACTCTGGAGCTCAAGCAGTCCTCCTCCTCAACCTAAAGTACTGGGATTACAGGCCTGAGCCACTGCACCTGGCCTACAGTTATTATTATTATTATTATTATTTCTTTTTTCAGTATTTATTGATCATTCTTGGGTGTTTCTCGCAGAGGGGGATTTGGCAGGGTCATAGGACAATAGTGGAGGGAAGGTCAGCAGATAAACATGTGAACAAGGGTCTCTGGTTTTCCTAGACAGAGGACCCTTTGGCCTTCCGCAGTGTTTGTGTCCCTGGGTACTTGAGATTAGGGAGTGGTGATGACTCTTAACGAGCATGCTGCCTTCAAGCATCTGTTTAACAAAGCACATCGTGCACCGCCCTTAATCCATTTAACCCTGAGTGGACACAGCACATGTTTCAGAGAGCACGGGGTTGGGGGTAAGGTTATAGATCAACAGCATCCCAAGGCAGAAGAATTTTTCTTAGTACAGAACAAAATGGAGTCTCCCATGTCTACTTCTTTCTACACAGACACAGTAACAATCTGATCTCTCTTTCTTTTCCCCACATTTCCCCCTTTTCTATTCGACAAAACCGCCATCGTCATCATGGCCCGTTCTCAATGAGCTGTTGGGTACACCTCCCAGACGCGGTGGCGGCCGGGCAGAGGGGCTCCTCACTTCCCAGACGGGGCGGCCGGGCAGAGGCGCCCCTCACCTCCCAAACGGGGCAGTGGCCGGGCGGAGGCGCCCCCCACCTCCCTCCCGGACGGGGCGGCTGGCCGGACGGGGGCTGACCCCCCACCTCCCTCCCGGACGGGGCGGCTGCCGGGCAGAGACGCTCCTCACCTCCCAGATGGGGTGGCAGTCGGGCAGAGACACTCCTCAGTTCCCAGACGGGGTCGCGGCCGGGCAGAGGCGCTCCTCACATCCCAGACGGGGCAGCGGGGCAGAGGAGCTCCTCACATCCCACACAATGGGCGGCCAGGCAGAGACGCTCCTCACTTCCCAGACGGGGTGGCGGCCGGGCAGAGGCTGCAATCTCGGCACTTTGGGAGGCCAAGGCAGGCGGCTGGGAGGTGGAGGTTGTAGCGAGCCGAGATCACGCCACTGCACTCCAGCCTGGGCAACATTGAGCACTGAGTGAGCGAGACTCCGTCTGCAATCCCGGCACCTCGGGAGGCCGAGGCAGGCAGATCACTCGCGGTCAGGAGCTGGAGACCAGCCCGGCCAACGCGGTGAAACCCCGTCTCCACCAAAAAATGCAAAAACCAGTCAGGTGTGGCAGCGCGTGCCTGCAATCCCAGGCACTCTGCAGGCTGAGGCAGGAGAATCAGGCAGGGAGGTTGCAGTGAGCCGAGATGGCGGCAGTACAGTCCAGCCTCGGCTTTCACAACTTTGGTGGCATCAGAGGGAGACCGGGGAGAAGGGGAGGGGGAGGGAGAGGGACCAGTTATTATTTTTTAAAATGTCTTCTCGGCCAAGCACGGTGGCTCAAGTCTGTAATCCCAGCACTTTGGGAGGCCGAGACAGGTGGATTGCTTGAGCCTTGGGAGTTTGAGACCAGCCTGGGCAACATAGCAAGACTCTGTCTCTACAAAAAAATACAAAAATTAACTGTGTGTGGTGGTGTGTGCCTGCAGTCCCAGCTACTCTGGAGGCTGAGGTGGGAGGATCATCTGAGCCCAGGGAGGTTGAGGCTGCAGTGAGCCGTGATTGGACAACTGCACTCTGGTCTGGGTGACAGAGTGAGACCCAGTCTCAAAAAAAAAAAAAAAAGTCTTCTCTCCCCTACTTACCTACTATGAGTATAGATGAGGCAATTTACTTGACAAATATTTAATGAGCACCCCACTATGTGCTGGGCCCCATGCCAGATCCTGAGAAATATAACGGTGAACAGGCCCGACATATTCCTGGAGCTTCAATCTGAGATTTGGTAGTTTGCAGAATCCTGAAGAGAGCTTATTAAAATGCAGGTCCCAGGACCCATCTCACACAGGATGTCAGGGGTGTGAGGTGGGGACCAGGAGTGGGCACCTTTTGCCAATTGAGTCTAGCCCTGTCCTACAATATGTAAGCCACAAAATGATCCACATCACATCAATTTAAATTTTCCAGCAATTACATTAAAAAGTAAAAAGAAGGCCGGGCATGGTGGCTCGGCTCACGCCTGTAATCCCAGCACTTTGGGAGGCTGAGGCAGGCAGATCACCTGAGGTCGGGAGTTCGAGACCAGCCTGACCAACATGGAGAAACCCTGTCTCTACTAAAAATACAAAAATTAGCTGGACGTGGTGGTGCATGCCTGTAATCCCAGCTACTCGGGAGGCTGAAGCAGGAGAATCACTTGAACCCGGGAGGCAGAAGTTGCAGTGAGCGCTATTGCACTCCAGCCTGGGCAATAAGAGAGAAACTCCGTCTCAAAAAAAAAAAAAAAAAAAAAGTAAAAAGAAGGCTAGACACGGAGGCTCATGCCTGTAATCCCAGCACTTCGGGAGGTCAAGGCAGGAGGATCGCTTGAGGCCAGGAGTTGGAGACTAGCCTGGCCAACATGGTGAAACTCGTCTCTACTAAAAATACAAAAAATTAGCCAGGCGTGGTGGTGGGTGCCTGTAATCCCAGCTACTCAGGAGGCTGAGGGAGGAGAATGGCTTGAACCTGGGAGGCCGAGGTTGCAGTGAGCAGAGATCGCGCCACTGCACTCCAGCCTGGGCTACAGAGAGACTTCATCTAAAACAAAAAACAAAAAACAAAAAACGATAATTTAAAGATAGTTTGCAATCTTTCTTTCTTTCTCTTTTTTTTTTTTTTTTTTTGAGGCAGTCTCGCTCTGTTGCCAGGCTGGAGTGCAATGGCGCGATCTTGGGTCACTGCAACCTCCGCCTCCCGGGTTCAAGCGATTCTCCTGCCTCAGGCTCCCAAGTAGCTGAGATTACAGGCGCCCGCCACTGCGCCCGGCTAATTTTTGTATTTTAGTAGAGACGGGGTTTCACTATGTTGGTCAGGCTGGTCTCGAACTCCTGACCTCAGGTGATCCGCCCACCTCAGCCTCCCAAAGTGCTGAGATTACAGGCGTGAGCCACCACGCCCGGCCTGCAATCTTTCTTACTACAAAGTCTTTGAAATCCGGTGTGTATCTTACATTCACAGCACACCTCAGTTACACCAGCCACATTTCAAGTGCGCAGTGTGACTCGGGGCTACTGTGTTGGACAGCGCAGCCCGGAGGCTGATCCGGGTAGCCCGGGGGCCACGCTGGGAGCAGCGCAGGGCTGGATCGTGTCTGTGAAACTCACTTTGCAGACTCCGGTGCTCCAAACAAAATGAGGGAACAAAGTCATACCCGGACTCCAATTCTGCCTCCCACTCCTGGCTGTCTGCCCCAAGGTCCTTCCGCCCCGTCCTGGCCACGTGACCTTGGGAGTCCCTTCGCCTCCAGAGCCTTGACCTGTACACCTGAGAAATGGGCGTGGTGACTCCTGCTGGCAGCAGCAGTGGTGCGCGTGGGGACACGCGTGCGGGGAGTCAGGCGCCCCCGGGTGCTCGCGGCAGGAAGGAGTGAAGCCTGCGGGCGGGTGTGGGGGCAAGAACTGAAGCCGGGGGAACCAGACGGGCTCCGGGTGCGGGGGCTCCGCTGGGGCCACGCCAGTCCGCCTGCAGCAGCCGGCAGCTCCGGAGGCGGCCACCGGGCGGCGCTGTGGAGCAGGGACCCCGGGGCCCGCAGGGGCCCGCGGAGGAGTGAGAATAATTAGTAACAGCCCCTGTCTGGGGTGCACTTCCCGGGGGAGGGGAGAATGAGGTCACTCTGGTCCTTCTGTGACAGGAGGGAAAACAGGCGAAGAAGCCCATCCCCCCAACCAACCCCCCCTAATTCAAGTCGGCCAACACTGCGGCCATGGGAGGATCCGGGTTTGGAGTCGGGGGCTCTGGGTGAGGTCCTGATTCTGACCTCTGAGGGACCTCGGGCTGCTCGGCCTGGTCTCCCACCTGTAGACGGGGACACCTGTGCCTCCCTGCAGATGCCGGCTGCAAAGGGGCGTTGCCAACTGTCTGGTGCCGAGCCAGAGTCAGTGCGTGCCTGGGATTGAGAGGCGAACTTTGAGAGATGAGGATAAAAATAACAGCTGCCGATGCTGAGCTAAATGCCTACTCTTCTTTATACTCTCTTAACAGCCGGTGAGGTTGGTATGACTGTTGCCCCCATCTGACAGATGGGGTAGCTGGGCCTCCAAGGTCTGGTGTGGCCTTACCTGGCCCAGCAGAGCGGGACCCTGATTCCAGGGTTCTGTGCTGCCTTGTGACCAGACCTTGGCTTAGACGGGTTCGGATGAACCTTCTCCTGCACACACCCCCACCCATGGCTTTTTCCTCCCTCCCCTCCTGGGCTCTCAGACCCTCTGGCCTTCCCTCCCCTCCCCAAAGGCTGCCAGGGCCCACAGCCAGGACCCCCAGTCTCCCCATTAAGATCAGAAGCCTCTCCATGCCCACAGCTCAGGCCTAGCCAGTGAGAGTGGTCCTCTGGCCGTAATAGTGGTTTCAAGACAGGCATGGGACTCAAGCCTGGCCAGTGTGGCTGGATGTTGGGACTCTGGCACCTAGAGCAGTTGGGAAACCTGCCTGGAGGCCTAGGGGCTGGGAGCCTGGAGCCCGGAGGCCTTGGGAGATTTGCTTGAGTCTTGTCTTCACCTTCTATTTTGTATTTTTCTAGAGAGACAGGGTCTCACTATGTTGTCCAGGTTGGTGGGCAGTGGCTATTCACGGGGCAATCAGACTCGAACTCCTGGCTCAAGCCATCCTTCCACCTCAGCCTCCTGAGTAGCTGGGACTACAGGTGTGCACCACTGCGCCCCACTTGGCTTCCCCTTTAATGGAGGAGCTGCTGACTATGGTCTTGTGCTCTGGAATGCAGCCAAAGCACCTCCAGCTTTCCACCTGCCCGCAACCCCAGTTCTGTGCCCACAGTCTGCCTCCCACCCTCCCGTCCATCTGCACCCCGTCCCCACATTGACTCACCAAATCTAGAGTCTGATCATTGGAGGGTCCCTCGCAACCCCTTGCCTCCTCCAGAAAGAAAGGCTTGGCTCCACTCTCTTTTTTATTTTTTGAGATGGAGTCTCGCTCTGTCTCCCAGGCTGGAGTGCAGTGGCGCGATCTCAGCTCACTGCAGGCTCTGCCTCCCAGGTTCACACCATTCTCCTGCCTCAACCTCCCGAGTAGCTGGGACTATAGGCACCCGCCACCACGCCCGGCTAATTTTTTGTATTTTTAGTAGAGACAACGTTTCACCATGTTAGACAGGATGGTCTCGATCTCCTGACCTTGTGATCTGCCTCCCAAAGTGCTGGGATTACAAACCTGAACCACCATGCCCGGCCTGCCTTTGTTTTTTATCTGTAAAATGTGGCAAAGGGCTGAAAGCCCCCTAGCTCCTCTGGAAGCCAGAAACACCCTGCCCGATGATGGCAGCCCCCTTTTTAATTTAATTTATTTATTTTGAGATGGTGTCTCATTCTGTCGCCCAGGCTGGAGTGCAATGGAGTAATCTCAGCTCACTGCAACCTCTGCCTCTTGGATTCAAGTGATTCTTGTGCCTCAGCCTTCTGAGTAGCTGGGATTACAGGTGCCCGCCACCACGCCCAGCTAAGTTTTGTATTTTTAGTAGAGACAGTGTTTGAGGCCAGGCTGGTCTCAAACACCTGACCTTAGGTGATCCGCTTGCCTTAGCCTCCCAAAGTGCTATGGGATTACAGGTGTAAGCCACCATGCCCGGCCCAGCCCCCTCTTTTATAAGGGGACTTTGTATATGCTGTCCCTCTGCTTGGACGTCCTTCCTTAGTGTCCCTAGAGGGGGTAAGAGCATGACTGGACGCAGGCAATCTGCAATCCAGTCCCAGCTGGAGACAACAAAGGGCGCTCTGGGCTGGGGGCACTGCAGGTGCGAGGCCTCTGGAGCGGGAAGGCATAGGTAGCTCGGGGGGAAGGTTCTGTGGGGTTGGACGAATATATTTTATGGCTCAAGTTCTAATTCAGCAGCCCTGTCTCCCTCCTGCCCCTGGGAGAACTTCTGCTTTCCCTGGAATGGGGCTGTGGAAGGACAGACTGGTCCGTGGGTCCGGGTGACCTAATTTGAATAATGCGAACGGGAATGCTGAGATTCTGATATGCACGATGGTCTTGGGGCCTATGGGTCGGGGGGAATGAAGACCCTGGATTGGAATTGGAATTGGAACCCAACCAGGAGGAACAGGCAGCCCAGGGGTTTGGTGGAGGGTTTTGGGTGACAGGGACGTTACCAGGAGGCAGGAGAGGCCCAAGCACACCACTTGGCAGTGCCTGGCAGAGCAGGGCAGGGCGCGGGAGGGCGGGTGACAGTGGCTGGTACAGGTTTCAGCAGTGAACACCTCCCGCTGCACTCTGGGCCTCCCCATGGAGGAGCTGGAAGCTAAAATAGGACTCTATTTTGGGGGCCTGAGGCGAACTGGAGTCACTTCCCTGCCAGAAGTGAGAAGTTGCTTCAGCCTCTACCAGGGCAGGCCCTCCCCTATGCCGGAGTGGCAGGGGGTGGGCCTTATGGGTGCGGCCTGAGGCAGAGGGTGCGGGCCAAGGAGTGGGAGAGGACCGTGGCTGCTGAGGGGCTGAGGGGCTGGGGGCCTGGCCCACAGACATCATCTCCCTCCGTCCTCAGGGCAGCGGTGTGAGGTGGGAGCTGGGGCTTCCCCATGTTACAGATGAGGCTCAGAGAGGCCAAGTCACCTCTCCAAGGTCAATCAGTAGCAAGGGGCAGAGCCAGGATTTGGCCAGGTCTGGATGACGCCTGAGATGTAATCCCAACCCCAGCAGTGGGCGTGAGCGGGACCTCCACAGGCAGAAGGAGCAGCTGTTTCCTGACCACCTGCCGGGTGCCTGGCCCTCTGCACGCGCGATGGCTCAGTGAGGCCCTGTGTCCCGCCCCACAGGAGGCTGCAGCCTCGCCCCTTCTCACAGACAGGCCTGAAGCCAAGAAGGCAGGCCTGGGAAGCTCCAGCCTCAGGTGAGCGTCTGAGTTACTGCCCAAACGCAGGCAAACCCCTTTCCTGTCTGGGCCTCAGTGTCCCCATCCGTACTTCCAGGAGATCGGGCCACAGTCCCAAAAGACCCATCCAACTTTTCTTTTTTTTTTTTTTTTTGAGATGGGGCCGCTCGCTCTGTCACCCAGGCTGGAGTGCAGTAGCGCGATCTTGGCTCACTGCAACCTCTGCCTCCCAGGCTCAAGCGATTCTCTTGCCTCAGCCTCCCAAGTAGCTGGGATTACAGGCGCCCACCACCATGCCCAGCTAATTTTTGTATTTTTAGTAGAGACAGGATTTCACCATGTTGGCCAGGCTGGTCTCAAACTCCTGACCTAAGGTGATTCACCCGCCTCGGTGGCCCAAAGTGCTGGGATTACAGGCGTGAGTGAGCCACCGTGCCTGGCCAAGGCCCATCCAACTCTGATGTTTATAACATGTCCCACGGGGAGGCTGGCAGAGAGCTGGGCTGGGAGGCAGCTGCAATGACCCGGGGCTTTCGAAGCCTGCCTTCCCCAGCAAACCCATTCTCCAGGTCTCTCAGTGAGGCCCACCTGCGGCCGGGGGAAGAGGAGGAGTGTCTTTCCTGATGCAGACCCCGCTCCATGCTGCAGTGGATCCACGTGCACGATGCCATGTAGTTGCAGGTTGTCACCCCTGTGAGAGAGGGACTGTTGTTATGGCCTCTTTTTTATAGTTGAAGCCCAGGGCCAGGAAGTCCCTGGGCCCAGGACCACCCGAGAGGGAGGTCATGGTTGGGCCCCTCACCCAGGCTGCGGGCTCCAGGCCCCACCCTTCTGCCGCCACCTTCATGATGCCACAAAGTCGAAGTCTGATTTCATTACCCCCCTGACCCCAAGCTGGTCTTTGGCTGCCAGGAGGTGGCAAGGCCATTTGCGGCCCCCTCCGCACCCAGTCCTTCCCTGCAGTGACTGGGCTGTGAATAGCCTGGCCCATCCTCTCCACGGCCCCACCTTTGCCGTCCCCATGCTCAATTGCCCATATCCTCCCTCCTCTCACCTGCCATTTCCCAGTCATTCCATTGTCTCGCGCTCTCCTGCCCACTGAGGTGCCTCTGGCAGCTTCCCAGGTCCTCCCTGACTGGTTTTGGAACCCCAAAAGTGGCCCCCCTATTCCTGCTGCCCCATTCAATGTCCCACAGCAGCCCCAGACACCTGGAGACTGGCAGAGGCTGCGAGAAGGCTGGCCCCGTCCAGGCTGCCACTCTGCCCACCCGGGCCTGCTGGCTTCCCATCCCTGCCCAGCCCCTGCTCCAGGCCACTCAGCTGCCACGTGCAGCTCCTGAATGCCACCTCCGTCACCCACTCCTCTGCTCCCAGCCTGCCCAGAGCTCCCCACTGCCTACAGGAAAAGGTCCCAGGTCATTAGTGTGTCGTCCTCACCTGCTCACCTGGCCCAGCCCCCAGTACGGCCCCACCCATGCCATGCACCCCCCTTCAGCCTCACTCGCCTCCCCGCCAACCTCTGCCAGGGTACAGAGGCTGAAGAGTCTTCAACCTTAAGGCCAGAAAGCCTTGGGCAAGACGTGTCACCCCTCAGAGCCTCCTCATCTGTACAATGGGGGAATCACAGAACCCCCCTCACAGGGCAGATGGGGGGTGTCAAATGGGAAATCAGAGAGTAAGGGGCTCCATCACCTGGAAAGTGCACCATTCACTGTGACCCTTACCGTAGGGGATTGCTCAGATTCCCCTCCAGCGGTGATAAGAGACTGGGGGTGGGCCTGACAGGGTAGGAGTCAGGGGCGGTGGAGGAGATCTCACAGCCAGGACAGAGTCGCCGCCTGCTCCAGCCCACAGGGCAGACATCGGGGTCCCCATCTGCAGAGAAGAAGATAGGAGGCTTGGGGCACACAGCTGCCAAGCGGAACTGGCATTGGCAACAGGCCTGTCCTTTGCCCCCAACACGCACGCAGCGGGGCTTCTCTGTCCCCTCCAGCCTCTGGGTTTTCTTCATCTCCTTTTTTTTTTTTTTTTTTTTTTTGAGATGGAGTCTCACTGTGTTGCCCAGGCTGGAGTGCAGTGGTGCCATCTTGGCTCACTGCAACCTCTGCCTCCCAGGTTCAAGCAATTCTTCTGCCTTAGCCTCCCAAGTAGCTGGAATTATAGCCACCACACCTGGCTAATTTTTTGTATTTTTAGTACAGACGGGGTTTCACCATGTTGGCCAGGCTGGTTTCAAACTCCTGACCTCAGGTGATCCACCCACCTCGGCCTCCCAAAGTGCTGGGATTACAGGTGTGAGCCACCGTGCCTGGCCTTCATCTCCCCGATTTGGGTTCCAGCCGCTGCTGTAGTTGCTGGGCTGTCTTGGTCTCTGTATCTCCTTAGCCTCCTCTGGCTTTTCCGTGCAGCTCCCGCACCGCTCAGCGCCCCCGGCCTTCTCCCGGGGCCATCCCTTCTTTGGCCCTAGCTCCTTTTCTCTAATGCCCACCTTCCTCTCTGCCTGGCTGCATGCGGGCCTAGGGTTTTGCCATCCTGGGGTCCCTGAGCACCCAGCTGCTTCCCCACAGACATGCCAGTCCTTGTAGTGGGTGGGAGGCTGTCACTTCCCCTCCGTCTGTGCCCCGACACCTGTTGCTGTCCACCTGTGACTCAGTGTGGTGTCTCCGGACCCACAAGCCGGTGCCTCCTCTGCTGGAGCTCCGCTTGATCTGTTTTGCGTTCTCTTCTGCCTCCCTCGGGCTCACTCTTGGCCCCTGGGCCTCAGTAGGCCTCCCTCTCTCAGCCCTTGTCTCTCTGTCATTTTTTGTCTCTGACTCTCTCAGTGTCTCTTTCTGTGTTTCTCCTCTCTCTCCCCATCTCTGTCACAACCTATCCCTGTCACCTCCTCCCACATCAGTGTGTAATATCCCTTCCATCCTCACAGCTCTGTCGCCTCTCCCTGAACCCTTCCCGCCTGTGTGCACTCACCCTTAGGCCCTGCACCAGGTGTAGACAGAGGCCCCGGGGGGAGGTGAGGCAGGAGGGGCTCAGACAGGCCTGGGGGACGTTCCAGGGATAGCAAGGGGAGGACAGTGAGCTGAGCCTCTGCCCTGCTTAGCAGGAGCCCCAGGAGGCCAGAGGGGCAGGTGCTGGCCTCCAGACCCTCATCCCAAGGGGCCACATCCCAGAAGGTAACCCTGGTGACAGGCGGAGGGTCAGGAGCCTGGCTCTGGATAGGGCTCTGTGGCTGTTCCTCTGTGTGATGTCGCTAATTCCCCCACCCTCCCCTCTCTTCCTCTGAACTGGGGACAACCAAAGGTCTCTTCTTGGCCTCCTTCTCACTGTGGGCACTGTGAGAGCGGAAAGCAACCTCCACCCAGCAGGGGCTCTGGCTTACTTGCCCCATTATCAAAGCCCCTGCAACCGCAGTGGACGGCTCCAGCGACCATGACCAAGAAGCCCTGGCTGCTGTCCCAAGCCTGAGCAGGTAGCGGCAGGGGTTTGCCCATGGTCCCACCTGGCGTCGGTGGCAGGGCCCAGGCCAGAGGCCGGCTTCAGGACTCTCAGCACAGGGCTGAAGGGTGGGGTCCCAGCTACATCTTTGTCGGTTTGGTTCAGTGCTGAACGGTTTCTGCTAAAACAGGCCTTCCTTACTCACAGAAGGTGCTCAACGGGTTTTCATCGCGTGACCTTGAGACGCCCTTTAGAATCTGTGGTGGGTGGGGCCGGCGTGTGAGCTGAGGGCCAGGATCCAGGCACTTGCTTCTGGCTGTGTGGGAAGGTTCTGCCAGGTTCCAGGCAGCAAGTGGAGTGAGGGGTGGCCAGTGATTGGGGGAGGGGCAAAGCTAGGCTTGGCCAATTTTGCTAAGTGCCTATCTCTGTCTGTCCTCACCTCTCCCCCAGACCTCCTGCCAGCTTCTGAAGGCCAAAGGAACAAAATCCTAGGTGGTCAGGCACATCAGGACCCTGGAGGTCATCAGGTCCCAGCTCCTTTTTTTTTTTTTTTTGAGACCGAGTCTCACTCTGTTGCCCAGGCTGGAGTGCAGTGGCATGATCTCAGCTCACTGCAACCTCCGCCTCCCGGGTTCAAGTGATTCTCGTGTCTCAACCTCCTGAGTAGCTGGGACTGCAGGTGTTCACCACCATGCCTGGCTAATTTTTGTATTTTTAGTAGAGATGGGGTTTTACCATGTTGATCAGGCTGGTCTCGAGCTCCTGACCTAAGGTGATCCACCCACCTTGGGATCAAAGTGCTGGGATTACAGGCGTGAGCCACTGCACCTGGCCTAGCTCCTAACTTTGAAGATGGGGAAAATGAGGCCCAGGAAAGAGAAGAGAACACCCAAGATCACACAGTGGTCAAACCCAAGCTCTCTCTCTAGCCTTCCAGTTTTCATAGACTGAGAGCAAAGTAACCATCAGGTGTCCCTTTTTCCATGGCTGCCAGGTAGCTCAGAGGTCCATTTTCAAATTGTGTGTCTTATATTGTAAGCCAATCCAAATCCCTTCCAGAAGGCAATTCGTATTTATTTAGGTCCAGTAATGTACCTGACACCATGCCATGCCTGGTCACATATGGGATCTCATTTAACGCACACAGCAAGCATGTGAGATAGATATGAATGGCTCTTTCAGATAAGGAAACAGGCTCAGAGACATCAATTAACTTGCCCAAAGTTGCACAGCTAGTAAGTGGTAAAGGCAGGATTCAAATCTAGGACCCTCTGGCTCTGATACCCGTGATCTTTCCTCTCTGTGAATAGGCACATAGAGGCCAGTGCTCTCGGCCCCATGCCCTGGTCTCATTATTGTGCCCATTGCCTGCCATTCTTCCTCATCTTCATTCACTCTCTTGACTAGGAGCCCCTTTCGTGGCTGTGAAGGGGAATATTGGTTATTTATTTATTTATTTTTGAGACAGAATCTCACTCTGTCACACAGGCTGGAGTGCAGTGGCATGATCTCAGTTCTTTGCAACCTCTGCCTCCCGGGTTCAAGCAATTCTCTGCCTCAGCCTCCTGAGTAGCTGGGATTACAAGCCCACGCCACCACGCCCGGCTAATTTTTGTATTTTCAGTAGAGAAAGGGTTTCGCCATGTTGGCCAGGCTGGTCTTGAACTCCTGACCTTGTGATTCACACACCTCGGCCTCCCAAAGTGCTGGGATTATAGGCATGAGCCACCGTGCCTGGCCAGGATATTGGATTTAAAGCTCCTTCGCTTTCCAATTCCTGGGACCCAGGTCTACATCGTCCTTGTAGGAAGATTCAAAGGCTGAAGGGTGCATTTCTACAGCCTGCCAGACAGAGCCCAGAATTCTGTTAGCTTTTGAACCTTGTACTCAGCTTATGCAAACAGGCACAAGAAGAAAAAATAGTGAACAAAGATGTTCATCACTGCGTTGCTCCAGGTCTCAGTTTCTCTATCTGTAAATGAGGGGTTGCCTTGATGATCCATAATGGTGTATAATTTTTGATCTTCTATAATTTGATGAACATTCTATAGTCATTAAAAATTGAAGGCCGGGCGCAGTGGCTCACATCTGTAATCCCAGCACTTTGGGAGGCTGAGGGCGGATCACAAGGTCAGGAGTTCCAGACTGGCCTCGCCAACATAACCCCGTCTCTACTAAAAATACAAAAAATTATCCAGGCATGGTGGTGCACACCTGTAATCCCAACTACTCGGGAGGCTGAGGCAGGAGAATCTATTTTTTTTTTTTTTTTTTTTTTGAGATGGTGTTTCACTCTTGTTGCCCAGGCTGGAGTACAATGGCATGATCTCGGCTCACTTCAACCTCTGCCCCCCCGGGTTCAAGCGATTCTCCTGCCTCAGCCTCCCAAGTAGCTGGGATTACAGGCATGTGCCACCATGCCTGGCTAATTTTGTATTTTTAGTAGAGACAGGGTTTCTCCATGTTGGTCAGGCTGGTCTCGAACTCCCAACCTCAGGTGATCTGCCCACCTTGGCCTCCCAAAGTGCTGGGATTACAGGTGTGAGCCACCACGCCTGGCCAGGAGAATCTCTTGAACCCAGAAGGCAGAGGTTGTGGTGAGCCGAGATTGCGCCATTGCACTCCAGCCTGGGCAACACAGCGAGACTCCATCTCAAAAAAAAAAAAAAAAAAATTGAAAAGATGTAGAATCCATCAATACCCAGAAAAGTCAATACCTGGAAAAAACTGCAATGAGAAAAGCTAGACGCAGGAAGCAGTCATCTGATCGCAGCCATGGGCTCTAACAAAGACAGGGGTGAACGCAATGAGGTGAAATAGCTGAGTCGGATGCCTCCTAAGTTCTTTTCTATTCTTCTGTGAGCTATTTGAGTTCATAAGGAAGATAAATCTTCCAGAAGCTGGTGGGAAGGAAGCCATGGTGAATCTACAAGGATTAGGCCTGAACCGTGGAATTCCAGGCAGGCAGGCAGGTGTGGCCAGATGAGGGCGGGGTTTTTTGCTCCCATTAGATCCGCCCTCTTCCCCCCTCCCTGTCTTCCTCCCTTTCTTCCTCTTCCTCCTTCCTTGTCTTCCTCCCTTTCTTCCTCTTCCTCCCTCCCTGTCTTCCTCCTTTTCTTCCACATGCATGATACCCTCTTCATTCTCTCCATCCTGCCCACCACTCCTGCTCCCCAAGAGGCTGTGACCGAAGTGGGGAAGAGAGGGCAGGGCAGGGCAGAGGGGGTCTCCTTACCCTGGCTCTGCAGGGAAGCTGGTGTGGCATGAGGAGGGCTTGGCAGCACTTTAAGGCCCCTTCAGCCTGCCCGTTGGCACAATTCCAAGCTCCGTGACATCTAAGGTTCTTACACCCCCAGACGCAGCAACTCCCCCCACCCCGCTCCGTCAGCGCCGCAGGAGCCGGAGTGGAGTGAGGGATCAGAGGAGCGGCACGAGGAGGGAGGCAGGTGGGAGGGCTGTGAAAGGGGAACAGGTGGGAGAGGGAAGGTGAGTCAGCCCCGAGCAGAGCTGAGCCAGCAGGAGTTTGCAGCGCAGCCAGGCCTGGGAGCCTCCCTGCAGCTGCGGGCTCTCGGCACCGCGTGGCCCCCTCCCCCAGTGCCCACACTGGCACTGCCCTTTGGCACTCCAGAAGTCCTGGCTTTGGGCTTTCACTTGCCTCTTCTGTGTGACCCTGCCACAGGTCACCTTGCATGTGACCAGAGAGACCAGGCCTCTCCCAAAAGAGCAACTACCACAAGCATATGAGCAAGCTGCAAGCTGGTGAAGGGCCTGGGGGGACCTTGGAACGCCCCATGTTGCTCTGGATGGTGGATGATGGGCCCTCTTGGGGGTAACCCCACATGTACCCCTTCCCCACCCTGCATCCGGGCCTCTCGCACATCTTAGAGGAGGGTAGACATCCCCTAAGACGTGCTCTAGGTGGAGGCTTCTGAGTCTGGGAGCACCTGAGCCTGAATCCTCTTCAGTTACTGCTCGTAGCCCAGGAAGCCGTGGCATCCTGGGGATGTGGTGGGAGGAGTGGGGAGACCTGGCGAGACCCACCCAGGGCCTGCAGGGCTGGATAGAGGGACATCTCTCATGAGCCTCCAGGGTCAGGATTGAGACCCTGGGGTACTCACCTGACAGAAGGGGACCAGGGGTCCTTCCAGAATGTGGGCAGATGCGCCACTGAATTTCCTTCTTGCTGAGCGGCCCCCACAGGCTCTTCGGTGGGGGTGGGGGCCAAAGGCCACAGGTGCACTCTGGGAAATCTGGGAGGGCACAGAGGAGGAAAGGAAGCAGCCCCTCCCCCTCATTGAGCCCCCACCTGGGAGAGGATGGAGTGAAGGAGAAGCAGGCTCCCGGGCCTCTGACTGTCCTCACTTTGTTTCCAGCCAGCCCCCTGGTTCTCTGGGCCTCTATTTATTTCCTCATCAGTAAAAGGAGGCCATAATCCTTGTCCTGGCTTCCTCTTGGAGTTTCGTAAGAGTTCAATGAACCCAAGGACGTGAAAGGTGTTATGCAAATGAGAGACATTATGAGTTATCTATTGGGAGGCTTGGATCCTGAGCTTGGCTCTGTCTCCAGGAAAGAGGCCTCAAGTTTCCTTCTGCAGCAGCGCAGCATACGGGGTGCACAGTGATCCACCCAAACGGCAGCTATGCTGCCGGGGCTGGTGAGACGTGGTCATTCACAAGGCAGCTCGCTGTGCTGCACAGCAGGTAAGCTTGCCTGCTGGTTCCCTGTTTCTAGAGGCAGCTGGCACCTTTGTGTGGAAGATCCCTGGGACCCAGAAGGGTGCCTTCTGCTTCCTTTCAGCCTGGGGCACACAGTCAGCCTGTAGAGTAGAAGTCGGGTGGGAGGAACCCTCAAACTCCAAGGCTCTGGGATAGATGACCAACTATGGCCACAGCTCCCTCCTGCTCGGCATGTCCTTGGCAATGTGACTTTGCCTCTTTCCCAAAAGGTGGAAACTAATTTCCCACCCTTTGAATCTGGGCTGGCCTCGTGACCTGGACTCTGGCCGATAGACTGCAGTGGAAATGATGTTATCCAAGTTCAAGGGGCTAGGCCTCCGGAGACCTTGCAGCTTCTACCTTTGCCCTCGTAGGTTGCTGCCCGGAGTCGCCATGAAGGAATGTGATGCAGCCTATTGGAGGAGAACCAAACCCCACCACCACCCCAGAAAGCCATACCAGCTGCCGACATGTACATGGGCTCATCGGGGGTTTTCCAGGCCCACTGATGTTCCAGCTGAGCACAGCTGCCGGGTAAGCCCAGGAGAAATCAGCTAGGAACCCCAGCCCACCCACAGGACCCTAAGAGAGGATGCGTCATTGGTCTCTGTTTTGTGCTGGCTGGTTATAGAGCATAGGCTAACCGAAGGCAGAGAAGGGAAGGGACTTACCCGAGGTCCCACAGAGAGCAGAGACCAAGCCTGTCTTGGTTAAGTCTGTGACCAGGTTTCCTGGCCCCTGTGCCCTTCCCATCAGTGTCCTGCCGCCAGCTCTACCAGCGGTGTGTGGATCTGCATGTATGTAGGGAGGTGCGGATCGGGTGGGCCCTTCCCACTTCCACCTGAGTTAGGAAGGGTTGGCTGACGTCCACACAGGGCTGTCCTGCCCATCATTGCAGGCGGGAGGGATGGTTAATCCCATTCTGCAGAGGATGAAACTGAGGCCAAGAGCTGACAGTCACACAGCTACTAGGTAACAAAGCTCTGACATCAAAGCTTTTGGTTCTTTGATGCCAACTCCAGATCCTTCTATTGACTCGCCGGAAGGAGAATGGCAGGTGGTAAAGTTCCCTCCAAGGGTCAGTCACTCAGAAAGGGCCACATACACAGGCACACACATAACACACAGGCACACACATGACACACAGGCACACACACGACACACACAGGCACAATTACATGTGTGCTTGCTCACTCTCTTTCTCTCCTTCTCACCCCTCCATCTTCAACCAGCCTACCCCTAATGGACCATGTACTTTATTAAAAATATATAGTTACGGCTGGGTGCGGTGACTCACACTTGTAATCCCAGCACTTTGGGAGGCCAAGGTGGGTGGATCACCTGAGGTCAGGAGTTCGAGACCAGCCTGGCCAACATGGTGAAACCCCATCTTTACTAAAAATACAAAACTTAGCTGAGTATGGTGGCTCATGCCTGTAATCTCAGCTACTCAGGAGGCTGAGGCAGGAGAATCGCTCGAACCTGGGAAGCGGAGGTTGCAGTGAGCCGAGATTGCTCCATTGCACTCCAGCATGGGCAACAAGAGCAAAACTCCGTCTCAAGAAAAAAAAATAATAATAAAAAATAAAAAAAAAATATATATATATATATATATATATGGTTACAAACTCTGTTGTCAATCTGGGCTGGGCCCGGGGCTGGAGGGACTGCAGGGAGGGAGGGATGGTCCCTCATCCCACCCCTCAGAGTCCCTCCTCTGCACCCAAACCCAACACCATCCAAGGGCCAAGGTGGCTGGCGTTGAGGGCCTCAAGGGGCCAGCCAGCTGGGCAGGGGAAGGCGCTAGGCTTGATGGGCTGGGTGGGGAGGGGTGCACAGAGAGGGACTGCATCTCCCTGTCCAGCAGGTAAAAACGGCAGAAAGTGAATTTGGTGTCTCCATCTGTCTCCATTTATAGATATTTACAAAAGAAAGTCATGAGCAACAGGCCACAGTCATGCAAAAGAAACGCACCCCCCCCTCCCCAAACTAACCCCCTGCCCACCCTGAAACCCCGAGATGTCCCCCGCCCAGCAGTCCAGCCACCTTCCCCAAGGTTCTGAGAGCAAAGAGGGCACGTCCTTGAAGAGTCAGTGGGGGAAGGGTGGTGGATCCGGGGACCTAGAGCCACCAGAAGTAGGCGCTGGCGGAACTCAGGCTGATCGGGGCCGAGCTCTTCCCAGGCCTGGGTGCTGGAGTCAGGAGGAAGGGGTCCCCCAGTCTTTGAAACCCCCACCTTCCTCCAGAAGGTCCACGGAGCCAGGGTTGGCTCTGTCCTGAGTGTGGGAGGGGGTGTCCTGGCATCCCACCCCCGGCAGAGGCTCTTGTGGGCAGTGGTGAGGGCCGGGCCTGGAGGTCAGATGGCAGACTCCCTGCGGTAGGAGATGTTGTCCAGCGGGAGGGAAGCCTGCATGCGCTCCAGGTCCAGGTGGCTGCCGAACTCCAGCATCCGGATGATGCCCGCCTCCTCCTTGGAACCCGCCTCCAGGCCCAGGCCTGCGGCCACCGCGGCCGCCGCAGCTGCCTCCTCCTCCATCTCCTCTTCCTCCTGGCTCATAAGGGCCAGCTCGTTCTCGTAGCAGAAGGCACTGGGAGGGGGCGGTGGGGCGGGCAGCACGGTGATCTTACTCTCCTGCAGCTCCCGGGCCGAGCAGCAGGGCGTGCCGGCCACCTCGTAGGTCTTGTGAAAACGTGAGTAGTCCACCTTGTAGTGGCTCTTCTCCTCGAAGACCACAGGCTCAAAGCGGTGGCCCCACAGGATCTCGCTGGCCAGGTAGGAGCTGCGGGCCTGGGTGGTCATGGCCGTGGCCTCCACCATGCCCTCCAGGATGACCACGATCTCAAAGTCCTCCGACTCCAGCTCCTCCTTGCCCATGCCATAAAGCGGGCTGTCCTCGTCGATCTCGTGGACAATGATGATGGGCGACACCAGGAAGATGCGGTCCAGGCCGATGTCATAGCCCACGTTGAGGTCCCGCTGGTCCAGGGGCAGGTACTCGCCCTCCTGGGTCATGTAGGGCTTGATGAGCTGGGCCCGCACGTGGGCCTCCACAATGTGGCTCTTGCGCAGGTTGCCCACGCGCCACATGAGGCAGAGCTTGCCGTCGCGCACCGAAATGACCGCGTGGTGGCTGAACAGCAACGTCTGCGCCCGCTTCTTGGGCCGCGCCATCTTGGCCATGATGGTGCCAATCATGAAGGAGTCGATGACGCAGCCCACGATGGACTGGACCACCACAGCGATGACTGCCAGCGGGCACTCCTCTGTCACGCACCGGAACCCATAGCCGATGGTCGTCTGCGTCTCCACCGAGAACAGGAAGGCACCCAGGAAGCCGTTCACGTGCATGATGCAGGGCTTGGGGGCCACCGGGGCTGCTCCGCCACCACCCGCCGCCGGGCCCCCCGCCGCAGGCACCCCTGGGCTGGCCTCCAGGTCACCGTGGAAGAAGGCGATACACCAGAAGAGGAGGCCGAAAAAGAGCCAGGAGACAAGGAAGGCCGCGGAGAAGATCATGAGCATGTAGCGCCAGCGCGTGTCCACGCAGGTGGTGAAGATGTCCGCCATGTAGCGCTGCGACTTGTTGCTCAGGTTGGCGAAGTACACGTTGCATTGGCCGTTCTTCTTGACGAAGCGGTTGCGGCGCTTCCGCCGGGGCACGTGGGCCTGGCCGTTGCGGCTGTGTCCGTGCATGTCCTGAAGCCGGCGTGGTCACCTGGGAAGACGCAGGGCCTGCGGAGGAGAAGCCGGACAGGTGAGATGCTGGGGAGCGAGGGGCTCCCTCGGGGCCACTCAGACTCAGCCCCAAGACTCTCAGAAGCAGGTGAGCCTGGACCAGGACCTAAGACTTCCTCTGCCCCGGCAGGCGGAGGGTGGCAGCAGAGGTGGCTCTGATGACAGGGTCTGAGCCAGTGCCACCCAGTCCGGCCCAGCTTAGAGACTGGGGTCCATAGACCAGGAAGCTAAAGCCACAAGGATCCAGGTCCTAGTCCCTGCCCCTCAACACTGCCCCTCCGGCCCTCCTATGCTCACTGTTCTGGAAGCTTCCTGATGCCCATCTTGGTTCCTCCCTGTCCCTCTGTCCTGCTTGCCCTGAGCATAGGGAGCCACGGAGGCGCTAAGCCCGCTTCCCTCCCTGGATTCCATCTCTGCACTTTTGGGCTTCTCGGGGGCTGGACATCCTCCTGTGCACTAGCCACTGGCCACGTGTGGCTCTTTACATTTAATTAAAACGAAATAAAATATTAACTGCAGCTCCTTCCTTGCATGAGCCACATTTCAAGTGATCAGGAGCCACATGTGGTCAACGGCCACCACACTGGACAGAGAAGACACAGGAGAGTTCTATCACTGAGAAATTTCTGGCTGGGCACAGGGGCTCATGCCTGTGATCTCAGCATTTTAGGAGGCCGAGATGCAAAGATTGTTTGTGCCAGGAGTTTGAGACCAGCCTGGGCAACAGAGTGAGACCCCATCTCTACAAAAAATAAGAAAATTAGCCAGGCATGGTGGTGCATGCCTCTGGTACCAGCTACTCAGGAGGCTAAGGCAGGAGGATCTATTGAGCCCAGGGGGTCAAGGCTGCAGTGAGCTGTGATCATGCCACTGAACTCCAACCTGGGTCACAGAGCAAGACCCCATGTCAAAAAAAAAAAAAAAAAAAAAAAGAAAGAAAAAGTTCTACTGGGACCCGCAGCCCCACCTGGGTCTGAGCTCCTTTCTTAGACTCTTCTCTCCCAGTGTTGCTTTGAGTCCTTGAGCCCAAATTCCTGCCCAGTGCCCACACTTGTTAGGAGCAGTGGTGAGGGGAGAATCCAATGTGACAGTCAGGGTGGAGGAAGGGGGAGCCCCCAGCTCTGACTCCTCTGTAGACATCGCTATTCCCATGTCCCAGGTGGCTCAGAGATGGAAAGCCACCTGCCAGCCACAAAGCTGGCAGTGGATACAAACTTGCGTGGCACCAACATGAATGAGTTGATGGCGGGGAGACAGGGAGTGGGAGGGGAGGACACACCTCGGGCAATTCAGTTCACCTCTCAGAGCCTCCATGTCTTCATGTAACATGGGCACCAAAACTCCCTACCTCATGGGACCTACGGGGACAGCAGGTGCTGGGGTAAAGCCATCACCCTCCTGCCTTCCTTCCCACACTTCCCAGGAGCTGGTGACAGGCAGGATTTGCCTGTCAAGCATCCCCAGCTGTTGCAGCAGAAGAGGCCCCTCACCCCACTGGGTGGCGGGATGCGCCTCGGGCCCGTAGAGGACAGACCTTCTCTCCACCCCTCTCTGCCATTGCGTCCCCAGGGAAGACATGCTGCTGCCCCAGGCCCCAGCAGCTGGCAGGGCCAGGACTGGGCCTGGGTTCCCAATAACATTTTGGCCCAGAATTACATAAGGCTGGAAGTTTCTATTTTCTGTTCTATTCTTCTTCCTGATCTAATTGTGCATCTGTGGCAATGTTTATACACTTCCCCGGTTCAGGACAACTCGGTTGCCGCAGCAACCGGTACGCGCCAACGCTATAATTTAGAGATCAACAGCCTCAGAGCCTGCCTCTTCCCAAGAGAAACTCCCTCTCCGGGCCCAGGGAGAGTGAGCCCTGCCCCCACCTCCTCCCCCGCGGTCACCCACCCTGACTCCGAGTTCTTCTCCCTATTCCCCTGGTTCTCAAAGAGCTCCCTGGCTCCTACAGTCCTGGGTTGAAGTCCTAGATCCACTGTGTGACTTGGGCGAGCTGTTGACTACTCTGAACCTCAGTTTCCTCATCTTGAAAATGGGGCTGACTGGGTGCGGTGGCTCACGCCTGTAATCCCAGCACTTTGGGAGGCCGAGGCGGGTGGATCACCTGAGGTTGGGAGTTTGAGACCAGCCTGACCAACATGAAGAAACCCCGTCTCTACTGAAAATACAAAAATTAGGCCGGGCATGGTGGCGTGTGCCTGTAATCCCAGCTACTGGGGGGCTGAGGCAGGAGGATCGCTTGAACCTGGGAGGCAGAGGTTGCAGTGAGCCGAGATCGTGCCACTGCACTCCAGCCTGGGCAACAAAGTGAGACTTCGTCTCGAAAAAAAAAGAAAATGAGAAAATTGGGCCAATGAGATATCATGCTGGAGACCCGACAGGTCATGCAGGCACGGCCTCTAACGTAATGCTGGCCCTTCAGAGCTGGGAGGCCCAGACCCTCTTTGCCCCCTCCCGCAGCATCCCAGCAGCCAGGGCTCCAGGAGAAAGGCTTGGGGTTCTGGGGCCAGGCACACCTTCTGCTCTGTAAATAGAGTTTTCAGGGAGGCCTTTCTTTGCTAAATGTATTCCCCCTGTTCTGTCCCACTGCCTGAAATGGCTCCAGGGGCACCGCGGACTGTCAGGACAGGAGGAGCATAGGGTCACCGAGTTCAGGACCCTCATTTTATATCGGAGACCAAGGACATCCAGAGATAGGAAGGACTTGCTAAGAGTCCCAGAGTGGAGCCAGGTGGGCCAGCCCTGAACAAGGCCTCACCCCCACCCCAGAGCTCCTCATCCACTTCCTCCCTGCAGGGGGCTGGAGTGGGTTTTGGGGCAAGGGAAGAGAAGAAACCAGCCAGTCCAAACTGGACCACCATCCACAGGTGTGCAGGATAGAGGCAGAGGGGACAGGGTGTGGCGGCCCAGGCCTTCAACGGGTGAGGTCACTGAGCTCCAGAGAAGGTGGGGGGCCCTGCCCAAGGCCAAACACAAGCCCAGGGTTCCAGGGGATCCCTGGTTCTCTGCCCGGTGGGATTGCCTCCTGACATGGCGAGTTCACCTGGTGCTGCAGACGAGATCTCTTCCTGGACTTCCCCACCTCTGGAGGGGCCTTGGGGGTAAGGGAGCCGATCCCCTGATGGCTACAGAGATTGGGCATCCCCTCGCCAGCAGTGCCCACTCCTCCCCATTATCGAGTGCCCAGGGTCAATTCTGAGCTTCCACAATCCTCAGCCCCAGCGGCAACACTCACTCCCCAGGCCCACCAGCCCACTGGCCTCCACAGTGCAGCCCGATGGGGACATGGTTTACCCCTCACCCCGGTGCCTCCCCGACAGCCCACAGCAGGTGTCCTGAGCCCTTGCTATGTGCTGGGCCCTGTCTTGGGTTCCCAGTGCCCCCAGCACATCCTGGAGCTTAGCAGGAAAGCTGCTTCCCTGGCACTTCTCA
The DNA here is from genome assembly GCF_000001405.40 of Homo sapiens. Taxonomy (NCBI): domain Eukaryota; kingdom Metazoa; phylum Chordata; class Mammalia; order Primates; family Hominidae; genus Homo; species Homo sapiens. The sequence goes on from NC_000022.11 coordinate 38,431,613, forward strand.
GACCTCCACCCTTCCCCATGGAGCAGCCTCTGTGACATCCCATCCCCCTGAAAACCCTTGGTCTGCAGTGACTTGCTCAAATAAGAGCACGCTGCTGCCACCACAGACCATTTTAGCAGGAGAGAGAGGTTCAGCTGCTAATTCGAGGCTGACCCGTGCAAGGCCTGGCCAAAAAGTGAAGGGTATGAGCTTGGCATTGTGTTCTCATGTGACAACCACCAGGAGATGGCCAGATTTTCTCTTCCTTGTCACATGGGGCTTCCCAGGGAAGGCTGACGATGGCAGGAGAGGGTCAAAAGGCCTTGACAATTCAGTACCATCCTCCTCTGACTAGAGATGTTTTTTTTTTTTTAAAGGGCCCTGCTGGGCTAGGTGACTCACGCCTGTAATCCCAACACTTTTGGAGGCTGAAGCGGGCGGATCACAAGGTCAGGAGTTCAAGACCAGCCTGGCCAACTTGGTGAAAGCCTGTCTCTACTAAAAATTCAAAAAAATTAGCTGGGCATGGTGGCGGGCGCCTGTAATCCCAGCTACTAGGGAGGCTGAGGCAGAAGGATTGCTTGAACCTGGGAGGCAGAGGTTGCAGTGAGCCAAGATTGAGTGACCGCACTCTAGACTGGGTGACACAGAGAGACTCCATCTCAAAATAAATAAATAAATAAATAAATAAATAAAATAAAATAAAATAAAATAAAAAAGACCCCTGGTTGTTTAGGTGTCTGCTTTATCCCTATGATTAAACCACTTTTGTGGATGCAGGGATGCAGGGCCTAATTTGCTTGCATGGAATGTGCACTAGAAGAATGCAGTTTGAGGCTTGTTTTCTGCGATGGAGGCCCTGGGAGGTGGAGAGGCCCTCTGTCACAGCCCTGGTATGTGACCTTGAACAAGTTCTTCCTCTCCCTGGCATCAGGTCCTCCTCCAATTAAGGGACTACTCATCCTCCCCAACTTTTTTGAAGGTCACAGAGCTTGACATAGAACCAGAGGGATTGGTGAAATGGGGCCTGAGGTTTCCAAAACCCCCAGTGCAGGCCACTAGCCCATGGCAAAATGAGCCTAAGAAGGATCAATGGGCCGGGCGCGGTGGCTCACGCCTGTAACCCCAGAACTTTGGGAGGCAGAGGCAGGCGGATCTCTTGAGGCCAGGAGTTCAAGACCAGCCTGAGCAACATGGCAAAACCCCATCTCTACAAAAAATACAAAAAAATTAGCCGGGCATGATGGTGCACGCCTGTAATCCCAGCTTCTCGGGAGGCTGAGGCATGAGAATCGCTTGAACCCAGCAGGCAGAGGTTGCAGTCAGCCGAGATCACACCACTGCACTCCAGCCTGGGCAACAGAGCAAGACTCCATCTCAAAAAAAAGATCAATGGTACTGCTGTCCTTTATATCCTGGGACTCTTTCAGTGGCAAACATTTTTTTAGAAAGTGATGGACATAGGAGATGCTGACTGCTTTTTAAATGTTAATGTCTTTTCTTGGCAAAATGAAGAAGTGACAATGCTACACCAGTTACCAGACTTTTCTTTTAATTTTTAAAAATTTATTATTGGCCGGGTGCGGTGGCTCACGCCTGTAATCCCAGCACTTTGGGAGGCCAAGGCGGGCGGATGACCTGAGGTCAGGAGTTTGAGACCAGCCTGACCAACATGGAGAAAACTGTTTCTACTAAAAATACAAAACTAGCCAGGTGTGGTGGTGTGTGCCTGTAACCCCAGCTACTCGGGAGGCTGAGGCAGGAGAATCACTTGAACCTGGGAGGCGGAGGTTGCAGTGAGCCGAGATCGTGTCATTGCACTCCAGCCTGGGCAACAAGAGTGAAACTCCGTCTCAAAAAATAAATAAATAAAAATAAACACAAAAATTGATTATTACTATTTTTTATAGAGATGGGGTCTTACTATGTTTCCTAGGCTGGTCTCAAACTCCTGGTCTCAAGCTATCCTCCTGCCTCGGTCTCCCAAAATGCTGGGATCACAGGCACGAGCCACTGCATCCGGCTTTCTCTTAATTTTACTGTGCTGTAAACATCCAAAATCTGCAAGTCTTTAGTCCAGACTTCATTAGCCAGCTGGGGAAACCGAGGCCAAGAACAGGGCATGGCACCGTGTCCGAGGTGGCACAGTAAGTCAACAGCTGTGGAAGGAAGCTCAGGCCTCACCACTGACACCAGCCATCCTGCCCCATCCTGAGGAATTAGGGAGGGGCTGGAGACTCTGCCTCCTGGGGGTCCAGAGGAGGCAGGAAGACCACCCCAACCCTGTCAACTTTTAGGTTTTCCCGACAATTTTAGGACACTAACTTATCTGTCCTTGCCCACAACTCCCTTTGCAAAAGAAAAGCTGATCAGCTTGCAGCAGCCTCGGCAGGTCCCAGCTACCTGGAAGGCTTCGAGGGCAAATCTCCTCCCCGAGATCCGTGCCACTGACCAGAGACACCATGGCCACTGCAGGGGCACCTCCGCCAGGCCCTGCCAGAGCCAGGCAGCAGCTCCAGCCCTGCCTGAAACTCTGCTCCTTTAGACAGGAGCAGGAAGCTCACGCCTAGAGAGCAGTGGCCAGTGCCAGCCTGCCAGGTTGTCATGCATCTCATGTCATCCCACCACCAGACTTCGAGGTGACTATTATTGGGTGAGACAACCAGGGAGGTGATGTGACTGGCCTGAGGTCACAGAGCTCAGCCTTGGGGATCCGAGGAACCAGTCATCCTCTCTCTCCAGCCCCTCTCAGGGAATTTCTGCCAACTCCATGCCAGGCGCTGCCTCCTCTCTCTCATTGAAGCATCACTGTATCCTTTGTGTATTTAACAAGTATGTATTAAGCACCTACCACAGTAACAAGAAGGGTTGTTATTTCTCCTCCCCAGCTGAAGAATTGCAGGCTACAGAGATGCCGGGGGGTTGAGGGGTGATGCTGAGCTTGAGCTGGAAATCTAACTTGAGTCTGACTAGCTCCAGGTCCTTGGCTCACCCTGGTCCCCAGCCTCTGGCTTCGGGACCCCTTCTCCTGCCACATCACCCTGCTCAACCTGGGACCCCCAGGCTCTCCCCATCCCTCCAGACCTACCCTGAGCCCCTGAGGCTCTCTGACCCTGCTACTCTGAGCCCTCAGGCCTCACTGTCTATCTGCAGCACATGGCCTCTGTTCAATATGAGAAAATGTGCTGGTTAAACCCATATGTTTTGGGTGGCAAGACCTGGCTCTCAGTCTCAGCTCTGTCACCTCCCAGCATATCCTCTTTGAACCTCAGTTTTCTCATCTGCAAACTGGAGATGACGATACTGGTACCTTCCTCACCAGGCCGCTGCTGAATGAACATGACAACCACCATGCGTTATTACATTGCAGGTAAAGTGCAAAAACTGATGTTGATAATGGTGATGACAAAGATGCAGAAGCTGATGACCAAGAATGCTGGACTGGGAGCTGGGGAACCCCTTCCACTCCTGACTCCACCACTAACATGCTCTGGTCAGAAGTTCCTTCCCTCTGTCTGCAAGATGGGGAGACCATCATGGCTCCCTGGCAGGAGAGGTGGGAAAATGTACAAAACGAGGCACCCAGACAGAGCTTGGAGTCAGGTGACAGATGGGGGGCGCTCCTGAGTCTCCTTAGCCCCAGCCATCCCTGAGCCCTCCTGGGCCTAGATGGGGAGGCTGACTCTCCAGCAAATGTCCTACCAGAGGGAGCCAGCACAGGGCAGTGGAGGTCAGGGGACGCAGCCCAGGGCATAGCTCAGCGCACCCAGGATGGGTTCTGAAGGGTAGAGGATTTTCCTGGAAGAAATAGACAGAATTTGCCGGGCACGGTGGCTCACACCTGTAATCTTAGCACTTTGGGAGGCCGAGGCAGGTGGATCACCTGATGTCAGGAGTTCGAGACCAGCCTGGCCAACATGGTGAAACCCTGTCTCTACTGAAAATACAAAAATTAGCCAGGCGTGGTGGCAAGTGCCTGTAATCCTAGCTACCTGGGAGGCCGAGGAAGGAGAATCGCTTGAACCCAGGAGGCAGGGGCTGCAGTGAGCCAAGATCGTGCCACTGCACTCCAGTCTGGGCAACAGAGCGAGACTCTGTCTCGGGAAAAAAAAAAAAAAAGAAATAGACAGAATTAACACCACTGTCCCATTTCCCAGCCCTTGTGGAGCACAGAGTCTGTCCCCACTCCAGCTGAGGCCCTCAGGTCTGGTTTGATTGGAGGGGCTTTCCACTCCAACAAGTGGAACTTTGCAGGGAGGAAGAGAACTCAAGACCCCAGGCCCACGGCTCTTTGAGCTGTACCCCTCAAAGAGTAAGGGGAGCCAAAGACAGACTGAGCCACAGGGGAAACTGTGGCAGGGTCCCCACCTGCCACTGCCCTCTGCAGGCCCTGCAGTCCCCTGTCCCTGGGAGGCCTGACTCCCTCCTCTTCATGAGTCTCAGGAACCCCCCGCCTGGTGCAGCAGCTTCAGCTCTGGAGCCTCTAAACAACTTTGTGCCCATGTGACCTTATGCGAGGAACTTAACCTCTCTAGTCCCTGCATGCCCCATCTTTAGGAGAAGCTAATAATAGAGCAGACTTCCTAGGACTGTAATGAGGACAAATGGGATCATGCACACCACGTGCCCAGCCCAGAGTAAGTGATCGATAAGGTGCATTTTACTCAAGGCTGAACATTGCTCCCTCTTGATTTCCTCCCCTCAATTTCAGATGCAGCATCCCAGAGCCTGCCTGGGCCCCATCCACAGGGCCCTGCCCAGTTTGTCTTCATTCACTGCACTAGGGAGCTGGTGGGCAAGAAGAGCAGCCTCGGTGCTGTTCCACACAGAGCTGGGCTGGAACCAAGCCGAGTCCCACTTGGCTCTAGCAGGTCACTGGATTCTCTGAGCCTCGGTATCTCCAATGGTGAAAGGAGCATCGCAGTGCCTACCTGCAGGGCCTGATGTGGATTGTCCCAAAAGCGCATGCCACATGGTGGGGGCTCAAGAAAGCTGTCCCCCTCCCCACCTTCTTCTGGACCACGAAATCCTGTGGTACACCTAGCCCCTCCCTCACCAGGCAGCCCTCTGACATCGCAAAAATTCAGGCTGAGCATCTGAGCATTGAGCACGCATTTACTCAGTACTTTACCCTGATCGATTCCTATCATTCTCACAATGATCTCAGAGGAAATTATCATTACCCCTGTTTTAGAAGAAAACCAAGGCACAGAGAGGTTCAGCAACTTGCCCAAGGTCACACAGTTTGTAAGTGGTAAAGCCAGGATGTGGGCCTGGGCAATGGGCATCAAAGCACGCTAACAAGGCATGCTACTGTCCTGCCTCGAAGAAATACTGTCACACGCTTGCTTCCACCTGGTACACATCCAGTCCTACTACGTGCCAGGTTCTGTGAAGTCAGTCCTATGGGGATGGAGAAACTGGATCACAGGGCAAGTTGGAGCCAGGACCCAGGTTCCTGATTTCAGGTCCAGCCAAACGCTGGAGACCAAGCTTTGGGCTCCACAGGGGCTTGGAGCAGCAAGGGGTGAACCGGCTCATTCCTCCTACTCTGCACCCCACCGGGCCCTCCCAACCACTTGGCCAGCGAATGTGGGGCGGGGGAGCAGGCTGACAAGCAAGCTCCCCAAAATGTCCAGAGGGGCCTTTGGTGAGGGCCAAATCACAGGCGCTGGGGGCTGGAGGACCCAGAGGCCACCTGTTTCAACCCACAGGTGTGCCCTTTGCTGAATTGCTGACGCCAGTCCTCTGCCCTCCCTCGAGAGCTTCCCACCCTCCACAAATACCTGTGCCCATCTTCCCCACAGGGCTGTGAAGGCCAGTGGATCCCTGAAGCTTCTCTTTTCCAGAACAACCGCAGCTCCCTCAGTGGCGGCAGGTGGGGCTTCAACACCCCACTGCCTGGCTGGGGCTTCCACTCAGTTACTATGGACTGCACGCTAGCTGTGGGCCAGACACAGGCCTTGGACTCGGCCAGCTTATGCAAGAGCTGGAGAGACACACTCTGGATGGTAGGCATTTGCCATCACAGGCGGCCGGATGTGTGTGGCGTTAAGCAGTTTGAAGGAAAAGTACAACATGGGGTGAGTCAGAGGGCGGGCCTCTGGTTTGATGGGCATCTCCAAAGGCCTCTGTGAGAAAATGGCAGAGCCAAGACTTGGGTAGTAAGTGGGAGTCTGTCCGGAGAACTGTATATCTTTGTGGAAGTGGGGTGTAGAATACTCCAGGAGGTCGGGCGCAGTGGCTCATGCCTGTAATCCTAGCACTTTGGGAGGCCGAAGTGGGCAGATAACTTGAGGTCAGGAGTTCCAGACCAGCCTGGCCAACATGGTGAAACCCTGTCTCTACTAAAACTACAAAAATTAGGCCAGGCATGGTGGCTCACGCCTGTATTCCCAGCACTTTGGGAGGTCGAGGTGGGTGGATCACCTGAGGTCAGGAGTTTGAGACCAGCCCAGCCAACTTGGTGAAACCCTGTCTCTACTAAAAATACAAAAATTAGCCAGGTGTGGTGGCAGGCGCCTGTAGTCCCAGCTACTAGGGAGGCTGAGGCAGGAGAATTGCTTGAACCTGGGAGGGGGGAGGTTGCAGTGAGCCGAGATCATGCCATTGCATTCCAGCCTGGGCGACAGAGCGATACTCTGTCTCAAAAAAAAAAAAAAAAAAAAAGCCAGGTGTGGTGGCTGTAATCCCAGCTACTTGGGAGGCTGAGGCAGGAGAATTGCTTGAACCTGGGAGGCAGAGGTTGAGGTCGTGCCACTGCACTCCAGCCTGGGTGACAGAGCAAGACTCTGTCTCAAAAAAAGAAAGAAAAAGGGCCTGGTGCGATGGCTCACGCCTGTAATTCTAGCACTTTGGGAGGCGGAGGTGGGTGGATCATGAAGTCAGGAGATAGAGACCATCCTGGCTAACACGGTGAAACCCTGTCTCTACTAAAAATACAAAAAGTTAGCCGGGCGTGGTGGCAGGCGCCTGTACTCCCAGCTACCCGGGAGGCTGAGGCATGAGAATCGCTTGAATCCGGGAGGTGGAGGTTGCAATGAGCTGAGATCGCGCCACTGCACTCCAGCCTGGCAACAGAGCAAGAGTCCTTCTGAAAAAAAAAAAGAAAAAAAGAAAGAAAGAAAGAAAGAAAGAATACTCCAAAAGTCTGAGTCTGGTGTTGAGAAGCTGCAGGAAGGCCAGGTTGTGGCTGTGAAGTGAGCCTGGGAGTGAGTGGACCAGGATGAGGCCACAGAGGCGGCAGATGGCAAGGGCTGCGGATGTCCCCCTCAGGGCTGGCGGGCTGTCAGGCTTTGCCTGGTCTGGTTTTAATTTCCATGTGAAATATTTAAGACAAATAGGAATAAGGACTAATACAATAAAGCCCTTAGGCCAGACATGGTGGCTCACACCCATAGTCCCAGCACGTTGGGAGGCAGAGGCAGAAGGATCACGTGAGGCCGTGAATCCAAGACCATGCTGGGCAACATGGTAAAACCCCATCTCTACAAAAAATTTAAGTTAGCTGAGTGTGGTGGTGCATGCCTATAGTCCCAGCTACTCAGGAGGCTGAGGTGGGAGGATGGCTTGGACCTGTGAGGTGCAATCCCAGCACTTTGGGAGGCCAAGGCGGATGGATCACGAGGTCAGGAGATCAAGACCAGCCTGGCCAACATGGTGAAACTCTATCTCTACTAAAAATACAAAAACTAGCCGGGCATGGTGGTGGGCATCTGTAATCTCAGCTCCTCAGGAGGCTGAGGCAAGAGAATCACTTAAACCCGGGAGGCGGAGGGTACAGTCAGCCAAGGTCACACCATTGCACTCTAGCCTGGGCAACAGAGTGAGACTCCGTCTCAAATAAATAAAATAAAATAAAGCCTTGTGCATCTACCACCAGGCTTAAGAAATACAACATTCCGGCCGGGCATGGTGGTTCACGCCTGTAATCCCGGCACTTTGGGAGGCCAAGGCAGGCAGATCACGAGGTCAGGAGATTGAGTCCATCCTGGCGAACACGGTGAAACCCCGTCTCTACTAAAAATACAAAAATTAGCCGGGTGTGGTGGTGGACACCTGTAGTCCCAGCTACTCGGGAGGCTGAGGCAGGAGAATGGCATGAACCCAGGAGACGGAGCTTGCAGTGAGCCGAGATTGCGCCACTGCACTCCAGCCTGGGCGACAGAGCGAGACTCCATCTCAAAAAAAAAAAAAAAAAAGAAATACAACATTCCTAGCCAGGTGTATTGGCTCACGCCTGTAATCCCAGCACTTTGGGAGGCCAAGGCAGGCAGATCACGAGGTCAGGAGATTGAGACCATCTTGGCTAACACGGTGAAACCCCGTCTCTACTAAAAAGTACAAAAAATTAGCCGGGCATGGTGGCGGGCACCTGCAGTCCCAGCTACTCGGGAGGCTGAGGCAGGAGAATGGCGTGAACCTGGGAGACGGAGCTTGCAGTGAGCTGAGATCGCGCCACTGCACACTGCACTCCAGCCTGGGTGACAGAGCGAGACTTCGTCTCAAAAAAAAAAAAAAGAAATACAACATTCCTAGCCAGGTGTATTGGCTCATGCCTGTAATTCCAACACTTTGGGAGGCTGAGGCGGGTGGATTGCCTGAGCCCAGGAGTTTCAGATCAGCCTCGGCAACATAGTGAAACTCTTTCCCTAAAACATAAAAAGTAGGCTGGGCATGGTGGCTCACGCCTGTAATCCCAGCACTTTGAGAGGCTGACGTGGGCAAATCACCTGAGGTCAGGAGTTTGAGACTAGCCTGGTCAACATGGTAAAACACCGTCTCTATTGAAAATGCAAAAATTAGCCAGGCATGGTGGTGCATGCCTGTAATCCCAACTACTCGGGAGGCTAAGGCAGGAGAATCGCTTGAACCCAGGAGGCAGAGGTTGCAGTGAGCCAAGATCTTGCCACTGCACTCCAGCCTGGACAACAGAATGAGACGCTGTCTCAAAAGATAATAATAAATAAAAATAAAAGATAAACATTCCCAGTATAATCCCAGTGGCACCCTGGCCCTTGCCTCAGCTAGCCTTTGAAGTCTGCACTGTCCAGAGTGCAGTGCCAGTCGCTGTGATGAGGTATATTCGGCTGGGGAGAAGACCATGATGGTAGCTTGGAGCTACCAGGATGGTGGCCATGGAGCTCAAAAGGAGATGGATTTGGGACACATGCATTCTGGGTGAAGAGTCCGCAGGGTTTGAGGGTGGAAGGGGGTTGTCGAGAGTGGCCTGTAGTGGTGGAAGACTGAAACGGGGCCAGGTTTCGGGAGCGACGGTTTCTAGTGTGCAGTGGCTTTGAACATCCAAATGCAGATGTCTACCTGACGTCAGATCCCGAGCCTCCAGAGGGAGAGTGGGCAGAGCTGGGTGCATGAGATGGTGAACGCTGGTGACAGGTTGAGTTGTGAGGGTGGGCGAGACTGGCTGGGCCAAGGGCATGGAAAAGGAGAGGGGGTCTTAGACCCGGCCCCAGCAGCCCCACAGATGGGAGAGAAGCTGCAGAGCAGATGAGGAGGACCGGCCAGAGAGCAGGAGGAGTAGGGGAGGGAGGCCAGCTCACAGACAGGAGAGGGAGCTCTCAGCAGAGTTGCCCGGTAGGCCCTGCCCAGCCTGGAGCACCTGAGGACTGACCATGGTAGCCACAAGTCCCTCCTCCACTTGGCTTCCCTCCCTCCCCAGCCAGAAAGGGGGAAATCTCCTCATGGGCTGGGCAGAAAGGGAGGTGCTGGGGAAGAGCCAGGAGTTCTGCTGGGCGGGGGTCAGGGAAGTTGCAGCAGAGGTGACATGGTAACAGCCCATGTCTGATCATCATCTGACCCTCATCCCCGCACTCCAGCATGGGTGGGGCTGGGGGTGGGGGTGAGGTGGTGTTTGCTGCTGCCCCATCCCATTGCCTCATCCTTAGCTGTCAGCAAACAAGACTCCAGGAGTTGGGGCTGCCGGCTGGTGGGGGGTGTCTCCCAGAACCTAGGGGGATGGGGGCTAATGTGCCCCTCTCACTCACACACAGGATTTCTCTGGGATGCTCGGCTGGCCCCAGCAGGTGCCCCCTAAAGAAGTGGCGTGGGAGCAGGGAGGAGTGAGAACAGTCAGGGCTGAGTTCGAGCCCCACTCCCTCACTTATCCAGTGGAGGCCACTGGGTGGTATCGCCTGTGACGCCTCCTGGGCCCTCCTGGGACTCCAGCCTGAGACTCACACGTGGGGAATGAGCAGCCTTGCCTTCAGCAGCACCGCCTGGAAGCGGCCCAAATGCCCATCCACGAATGGCACAGCACACAGACAGAAAAAGCCAGGAGAGAGCTCTGTGAGGAGCAATGTAGGTCTTCAAGATGTATTTTTAAGCAAAAGAAGGCAACAGTGATGAGCGGTGAGTATAGTAGCTACCATTTGTGTAAAAAAGGAGAGAGAAGAAATTTATAGATACACATATTTGCTTGTCTCTGCTTGTCTGTGGATGGAGACCCAGGAAGCTGGTGACATTGGCTGCTCCGGGGAGGGAAAGCAGGTGGCTGGGGACAGGGTGGGAGGAAGAACTGTCACTGTATTCCCGTTTGTGTCTTTTTAAATTTTAGAACCGTATGAATGTATTACCTGTGGGAAAATGCACATGAAAAGTTTTAAAATTAATGTGTACACATGCATATTTTCCAGAGAAGGCATTCATAAGGTTGTGTGGCCGGGCGCGGTGGCTCACGCCTGTAATCCCAGCACTTTGGGAGGCCGAGGCGGGCGGATCACGAGGTCAGGAGATCGAGACCATCCTGGCTAACATGGTGAAACCCCATCTCTATTAAAATTCAAAAAATTAGCCAGGCGTGGTGGCGGGCACCTGTAGTCCCAGCTACTCGGGAGGCTGAGGAAGGAGAATGGTGTGAACCCGGTAGACGGAGCTTGCAGTGAGCTGAGATTGCACCACTGCACTCCAGCCTGGGTGACAGAGCAAGACTCCATCAAAAAAAAAAAAAAAAAAGGACTGTCACCCCGAAAGTCTGAGAACACTTCACCTATGGGCTGCGTGGCTTTGGGAAAATTTCTTAACCTCTCTGAGTCACATCTGTAAAATGGGAAGGAATAACACCCAGTGAACAGGCATGCTGCCAAGGCGAACAGTGTGGGCAGGGGTTTGTAAACTGTAAAGTGCAGAAGCCTTTCTTTCTTTTTTTATTTTTTGAGGCAGGGTCTCGCTGTCACCCAGGCTGGAGTGCAGTGGCACTATCACAGCTCACTGTAGCCTTGACTTCCCAGGCTCAAGCGATCCTCCCACCCCAGCCTCTCGAATAGCTGGGACTTGAGGTGTGTGCTGCCATCCCTGGCTTATTTTTTAATTTTTTGTAGAGACAGGGCCTCCCTATGTTACCCAGGCTGATCTTAAACTCCTGGGCTCAAGTGATCCTCCTGTCTCAGCCTCTCACAGTGTTGGCATGAGCCACCGTGCCCGGCCTGCAGCCCTTCTTGAAGGGCATGACTTACTCTCCACTCTTCCTCACCTCCTAGTCTCCCCTCAGCCCCCTCCAGAGCTCCTCTGTGCCCCCTTCCCTCTCAGCAGCTCTGATGGAGGCTCTGGACTGGCCCTCGTTTTCCTCCTTGAGTCCTCCAGGCCTGAGGGTCCCTCTCCAGGTCGCCCCTTGCTCTCCTGCCTCTGGCCTCTCCATGACCCACACCGTGCAGTGCCCAGCTCCGCCATCCCACCTCCCTTCTCTTCTCCCCAGTCCTGTGATCTCATCCAGTCCTGTGGCTTAAAATACCACCTAGCCTGCGCCTCCCTCCCAGGCAGCTACAAGCCCACTTGGCTCCTGCTCCCTGTGTCTGCTGGACAGTGAAGAGGCATCGCGAACCCGGCACTGCCAAGCCCAAGCCATGCCCCCGTCCTCCCCTCTCCTGCCTTCCCCATCTCAGTCTGTGACTCCTCCCAGGAGGTCGCTCAGGCCTGACACCTAGGCATCATCCTCCAGCCCTCCCTAAGCCCAACCGCAATAACAATGGGTTAATAACTAACATGCACTTAGTGTTCACTGAGGGCCATGCACTGACTGGTCCACACCTGCAAGGCAGGTGCTGTCATCATCATCCCACAGTGGGCTTGGGAGCTTGCCCAAAGCGGGTGAACCTCGGGGCCCCGGACACGTCCCCTCACCTAGTCATCCACCCCAAAGAGCCACATCACTATTGCAGCCCACAGTCTCTGCCCACCACCTCCTCCCACAGCCTCCACCCACCTCCCGCAGTCCATCTCCACATCACTCCCTGCTCAGAGCTCTCGTCTCCCCAGGGCACTCGGGATGAACGCCCCGCCTCAGAGAGGTCCTGCCCTCTCTGACTGCACCCCCTCCACTCTCCAACCACGGGAAGAGACCTTCCTTCCCGTCCCTTTAACGCACCAAGTTTATTCCTGTCTCTGGGCCTTTGCACTGGCTGTTCTTTCTGGTTGAAATTCTCTTCTCCAAGACTCCACCGCTTGTGCCTTCCTACCATTCAGGTCTTGATTCAAAGGCTGCCTGTTCCAAGAGGCCCCGAGGCCCTCCCTCCCATCCAGCTCTCAGATCTTCCTGGCAGCCCTTAGCAGTCAAACCAGTCTCATCTGCAACATCATTACAGGCAGGAACCTTGCCTCCCTACTTCACCCCGACTCCCAGAGCCTGGCATAGAGTAGCTGCTTCATAAATATCTAACGACTGACAAACAAGATAACCCAGCCCGTCAAAATTCCCGGAAAGGGTCTAACTGGGTCATGTGACACATTGTGACCAAGGAGAAGCTATTTTTGACACGGTAGTCAGGGAGAACTTCCCAGCGGAGGTGGCCTCTGAGCAGTGACCAGGAGACCCTCTGTGTCACTGTACATGAGCACAATGGCCATGAGCAGAGGGGACAGAGGACAGGATGTCAGAGGGCTCATGCCTCTGCCTCACCCTCCACGGAGCATGGGCTTCTCTTCCCAGGTGTCCCCCAGGTGTCAGGGGCTCGGGGGAGGATGTCCTGGCCTCACCCAGGGATGGGTGGCAGGGACATGTGTACAGGACCTAGTGGGAGAGGGCATGGGAGACAGGCCTCAGAAGGACCAGAGACAGCAGGAGGAACAGTCAGCCCCTGCCCATGACTCAATGCTGGGCCACAGCCCCAAGGGACTGTCACTGACAGAACGCCTGCCATGGGGGGGGCCACGGGCTGCATGCCCCTCTTTACTGCTGACCACCTTCCCACTGGCTCCTCAGGCCAGAGAATCTCCAACTCCAGCCGACCCCCATCCATCCATCCATTCATTCATCACCCTAAATGTCCCCTGAGCTGGAACAGCATCTGCCTTCCTGCCAGGTGCCAGATGTGTCTCAACACAGCGCAGTGCCTTGCCTTGGAGGGCGGTCTGTAAATAATTGAGTGAACATTTATTGAGCACCTACTGTATGCTGAAGGGAAGCAGGTAAGTCACAAACCGGCTTTGCTGAGCTCCGTGCACGCATGTGTGCGTGCATGCGTGTGTGTGCGTGTGTGTGTGTGAAAGGGCATAAAGAGAAGGTCCTAGGAAGATGAGGGCAAGCAGGAGGGCACAAGGACAGAGCAGGGCTGGGCCTGGGCTGAGCGGAAAGCAGGGAATTTGGCCCGGCCTGGGATCTAGGCCCTGGGGAGAGGTGGTGGCTCTGGAGGAGCATGGGTGCCTGGACCTGGGTGGTCCACTGAGCAAGGGACAGGCGGCTACTTCTGAGGGCAGGACAGCAGCATCCTGGAAGTTGTGGCACCTATGTCTTTAGGAACCAAACATCCAGGGAAATCGGAACCTGAGCATCAGAACCTCTATCAGGGCGCCTCCTGGATTTCTACACAGGACAGTAGCTTTCAAGTTTTTTGACCAAAATCCGTAGTAAAAGCAAACATCCTGTTTGTTATTTTAACTTACTTTATATTTATTTTTTAGAGACAGAGTCTTGCTCCAATGCCCAGGCTGGAGTGCAGTGATGCGATCACAGCTCAATTGCAACCTCCTGGGTTCTTGCCATCCTCCCGCCTCGGCCTCCCAACGTGCTGGGATTACAGGCGTGAGCCACTGCACCCGGCTATATATTTAAAGCTGAAGTAAGAGCGTCACAAAATAATATTTACCCTCACTACATGCATAGTATTTTGAAATTTTCTTTTTAATTTCATTTTCGGAAAACAAGTAGTGCAACTCACTAAGTCAATTTCCCAACCCACTAACGGGGCAGGACCTGTGTGCAATTTTAAAGCACTGGCCTGAGTGGGGGTTAGGAGCGGTGAAATGGGATCCGGCGTGTGTCTTGAAGCTGTGACGGGCGGTGCTTGGACTCCGGGCTTTGTGACACACAACCATGTGGGGAATTGTTGGATGTTATGGGGGAATACTGGGAAAAGTCTGTTAGACCCCCCAGCTCACAGGACCGCCACTCTGCAGCCCAAATAACAGGGACTCTTTGGGGTCTGGTTCCAATTTTTTCCCCGGGTCTTTTAATAGAGCCCCCTCCTGCCCTGATAACAGATGCCATTCAGCAGTTGCTTACACATCTCCCAGGACAGGGCGCTCACCCACTTCTCAGGCAGCCCACTTGACTGTGAGGAGTAAGCTCTGCCGGGCTGCTGATGTAGCTGCTAAGTGGGGCCCCGCCCGTGGCTGGCTGGCCATTCTCCTCTGTCCTCTAGCCTGTTGTCTCAGGGAGCCGGGACAGCTCTGGCAAGTGGTCCTCTCTCTGCCCCACCCAGTTCTCTCTCTCTGCTGCCCAGCCACTGCCGGGTGTCTGTTGGGGGCAGCCTTGGAGCCCAGCCAGAGAGAGGCCCTTTCCAAGGTCAGGTGGGCTCAGGATCTGAAGCCTCATGGCGGGGCTGGCACTCAGCCAGCCTTGCCCACCAAAGCAGTTCTGGGGGCCTGGGTGAGGGAGGGCCGGGGGAGGCTCAGCTGTCCAGAGAAGTGGTACCCCAAGGCAGTGGCTGGTGATGGGGGTCTGGAAATCAGGCCCAGCAGTGCCCTTGAGTGGTTGGGTCACAAAGTAGTTCATATCAACGAGCTATGATACATTCATTCACTCACAGGCTCACAGGATCTTCCCAGTCACCCTCAGAAACAGATGCAAAGGGCCAGGCACGGTGGCTCATACCTATAATCCCACCACTTTGGGAGGCTGAGGTGGATGGATCACATGAGGGTCAGGAGTTCGAGACCAGCCTGGCCAACATAGTGAAACCCCATCTCTACTAAAAATACAAAAATTAACCGAGCATGGTGGTGCGCACCTGTAGTCCTAGCTACTTGGGAGGCTGAGGCCAGAGAATTGCTTGAACTGGGAGGCGGAGGTTGCAGTAAGCTGAGATCGCGCCACTGCTCTCCAGCTTGGGCAACAGAGCGAGACTCCATCTCAAAAAAAAAAAAAAAAGAAACAGAGGCAAACGCCCACCCTTACGGGGCAGGGGGTAAAGGCTCAGAGAGGTGAAAAACCTGCCCCAGATTCCGCAGCTGCTAAGGGGTGGAGCTGGACATGAACCCAGATCTTCTGTTTCCCAGTCACGGGCCTCGCCTGGGACAACTGAGGCTGGAGGAGCCTTGGGGTAGGGGAGGGGGAGGTGGGCCACTCCTCCTGTCTTGCTGAGAGCAGGCTGGGTTTCTCTGCCCCAGAGGGCAGGGCGAAGGAAAGAGGGAGTCAGGGATCAATTAGCAGAACCTTCCAGACACGAGTGGGCTTCCCCGGAGATGGGGAGCTCCCCGTGAGGAACAGTGAGGAGGGACTTGAGGCCCATTTCTCAGGATAACTGCAGAAGGGTATCCATGGGCACGAGGTTTGAAGGATGCCCAAAGCCCCTCTGCCTGCTCCATTTCACCCCCAGCCAGGGCCTCTCCAGCCTGTGCCCACCACCTCCCCTGTATGGCCCCAAGGAGCCCCTAATTGCGGACCCCATCCCATTTGTCTCCCAGGCTGAGTGGTACCTTCACACTCACAGGGCAGAGGGTCCTGGGCTTCTCAGGCCTATGAGGAGAGGGGAGGCTCCTGGGGGAGTCTAGGGTGGGGGCTGGGAGAGGAGCTGCAGGGGGTTGGGGGAAGCTTCACTGAGGTGTCCCAGGGGCCAACTCTGCCACCAACTTGAAGATGGGCACACCCCTCCCCTAGGCCTGAATCTCCCCATCAGTAAAATGGGGTCAGCTCCCCACAGCACATGCACCCTCTCCTGTGGCCCAGCTAAAGAACCCTCCCGTCCGGGTGCAGTGGCTCACCCCTGTAATCCCAGCACTTTGGGAGGCTGAGGCAGGCGGATCACAAGGTCAGGAGTTCAAGACCAGCCTGACCAACATGGTGAAACTTCGTCTCTACTAAAAATACAAAAATTAGCCAGACGTGGTGGCACACGCCTGTAGTCCCAGCTACTCGGGAGGCTGAGGCGGAAGAATCACTTGAATCTGGGAGGGGGAGGTTGCAGTGAGCCGAGATTGCACCACTGCACTCCAGCCTGAGAGACACAGTGAGACTCTCAAAAAAAAAAAAAAAGAAAAGAAAAGAAAAGAAAAAAGTAGCCGGGCATGGTGGCGCATGCCTGTAGTCCCAGCTACTTGGAAGGCTGAGGCAGGAGAATCGCTTGAACCCGGGAGGCAGAGGTTGCACTGAGCTGAGATTGTGCCATTGCATTCCAGCCTGGGTGACAAGAGCGAAACTCCGTCTTAAAAAAAAAAAAAAAAAAAAGGAACCCTCCCATCCCTGCAGCCCGGGTCGCTGGTGTGTGAGCTTCTCCCAGGACAGGCAAAACAGGAAAAGGCTGAGCACGCCCCACCATCCCCATGGGTGGCCCCCGATACACAGAGGGGCAAAGAGAGGCCCCCAGATGGACAGTGGCCTAGTCAAGGTCATGCGGAGCCAGTGAGGGGCTGAGCTGGGATTCGATCCCAGGCCCCTGACGCAGGCCACCCTTCCTACTGCTGTGACCAGGGAGTGCTGCCCTTCCCCTCGCTCCGATCTGGGGATTTTCTGGGGAGAAGGAGCTTAAAGAGACCCAGACCCTGCTCGCCTCCCACAGACCCCACAGCTCTGGGGAGTGTCAGTGAGAGAGGAGGGGCCGGCAGCCCTGGGAGCCATCAGGACACAGAGGAGTCAGGAGCAGCTCCGGGTTGAGAGGCTCTGCCACCATTGCTGAGTGACCCTGGGCAAACCCTGGTGGTCTCCGGACTCGGTTTCTCCATCTCCCAGGAGAGGAAATGGAGAGAAGGCCAATGCAGCCGCAGACAGGAGCTGCTGGGCCAGGCTTGGTGGGGGCTTCTCCTCCATCCCAGTCCCAGGGAGCTCCTCCGCCCAACTGCACCTCCCATGCCCCAGCTCCCCTCTGCCCTGCTGGGGGCCCCCCAGGCCTAGACCAAAGCTCCCAGCTGACAGGTCACCATTACAACGCTGACTTCTCCCTCCACAGCTCCTGCTGGGGTCGGGAACACCAAGGACCCCCTTTCCTGGTAGCCCCTAAGGACCTCTTGACCTGCCAATGTCTCTCTGGGGCACCTCACCCTCCCCTGCCTGCCAAGGCCAGACGTCCCAGCTGTTGGCACCAGGGCTGGTCAGGGACTGGCCAGCAGCCACAGGGAGGAGTGGCTGAGCTGTTGCATGGAAGGAAAGGGGAGGCCTAGGCTGGCAGACATGTACCCACCTCCCTTCAGGTGGCCAATGAGGGTCCTGGAGGGGCTGGCACTGGGTGCACAGTAGGACAAAGCATCTGTGGCTGTTTCCACCCAGGAGCCTGGAACCAATCCTTGCTTCTCTCTGAGCCTCAGTATTCTCATCTGAGAAGTGGGGGTGATGGTTCTCCCAGGGTGGTGGAGGATTAAGTGAAATCATGAATATGAAGCCCAGCGCTGAGCCTGGCACTCAGCTTCCCTCCTGCAGCAATACCCTGAGAACACTGCTCTCACCCCAGCCACCAAGCAACGGCACCAGCCATCTGAGCAGCCCTCACGCATGCGCATGCGTGTGTGCCTGTGTCTGTGCCTGAGCATGCACGCGCAGGCTGAAAGGGGGCTGCGAGCAGGTGGGGCAACGGGTGCAGAGGGAGGGGCAGGGGCCACACGCCAGCACTCCTCCCCACCGGTTTCCCACCCTGTGTGTCCCAACAGAGAACAGTGGTCTTAGAATCAGGCAAAACCCATCCATTCAAATCCAGCCTGTTTCCAGCCAGCCACTTCCCCTTGCTGAGCCTCAGTTTCCCCTTCTGTAAATGAGAATCATCTATGTCCAAAGTCTTCCAGGTTCACGACAGGGACCCCGTGTTGGGCCACGGGGCCAGGATTGGTCAAGACCTTTGGGAGTGGGGGGCCAAGACCAGAGCAAGCCAGAGCGTGAGCTCACCCCTGCTCCCCATGCTGCACCCCACCCACCACCCCGTGAGCGCCCGTGTGCGCGCCTGCAGGAGCGCGCGTGTGTGACTCAAGGTCTATTCATAGCCGAGCTCCACCAGCTGCAGCGTCACAAGCAGAGGGGCCTCAGCCCATATTATTATTTCAATTACCATCTGAATTAAAAGTTTGAGCAGCGATCAGCCCACGTAGCGAGGGGAAGAGGGAACAGGAGAAAAATAAAGATGAAAAGGAGAAGAAGGGCTGTGACTGGCGATCCCCCACACCCCAAGGAGGGCTGAGTCCGCAGAGGAGGCTTAAAGGTTATGCCAACCCCTAGGATTCCCGCCTGCCCCTTGCCAGGACCCACAGTCCTCCCATCGTTGGGAGGAGCGCTTTTCGACAGCAGCCCAACCACAGCTACTCGGTGGAAATAGATCTTTCAGCCCAGGTTCACATGGATGGGTGGACATCACTCGGAGAGGGTGAGGGACTGACCTAAGGTCACACAGAGAGCCACCCAAGGAAGTTGTCTCCAAGACCCTCTCCTGCCAGCCAGGTCCCACTGACCTCACCAGGCTCTGTAGCACATGTGCCATTTCCCTTCTGCTCCCCTCTCCCTGCGCCGATAACTTTCCTCCTGCAGCCCTAGCTTGGAGCCAGCCCTCTCTCAGCCCTCTGCATTCCCGACCTCACACCTCATGCCACCACCGTCAGCCCAAAGGCCCCTCCTCACTCACTGGCACAGGGGACAGAGCCCTGGGCCAGGAGACAGGCAGCCTGGCCCTAATCTAACTCTCTGGGCACCTTCGGGCAGGTCATTCCTTGTCTCTGGGCCTCAGTCTTCCCATCTATGAAATGAGTTCTCCCCTAAGATGCATGGTGGTATCTGTCTTCAGAATGGAGCCCCCAGAGGAGCCAGAGGATCCCTGAGGGGGTGTCACGCTGTGGGGGCGTCTAGACCATCTCCTGCCAAGCCCCAGCCCCAGGGAGGAACGTTTTCCACTCTTTCCCCAGGGAAGCCCCAGAGACAGCCCCCGAGAATCAGACTAGTCTGAACTCACACCCAGGCTCCTCTGCTGTCTTACTGTGTGACCCTGGACAAATCACATAGATTCTCTGAGCCATGGCCCTTCCATCTATAACACGGGGACATCAAATCAACATTGCCATGGAGAATTAAATGGGAATTTGCAAAAGCTCCTAGCCCAGTGCCTGGCGAGCAAATGTGTTTCCTCGCTGGGAAGCGGGGAAGCGATGGGCACTGCTTCCCAGCTCCTCTTTGGGAAACACCAAAGACTCCTAGGATTTTGGAAGTGGGGATGTTATTCGGCCTCACCCGTAAGGCGAGAGTCACCTGGCAGGTGCTCATCTGGCTCTGCTTGAATACCTCTAGGATTGAGGAGCCCACTATCTCACAAAACAACCACAGCTGCTCCCTATCTTGCTCCACCTCCAGCTCTGGGAATTTTCTAGAATGGAGCATAAGCTTCCAGTTAACCCCAAATCCAACCTGTCCTTGCCTGGGACTGCCTGAAACTGGCTTTAAAATGAGACTGAAAGGAGTTCTTCAAAGAGACCAATAGAGGGAGGGGATTAGTGCCCAAGGACAGTGGGGTGAGGGGATCTGGAGAGAAGGGAGGGAGAAAGGAGGTGGCCGAATTCAGAGCTGGGCCCTCAAAGCTCCTGGGTCCTGTCTGGGCTTGCCACAGTGTTACACAGGGACATCTGTCTGTCTGCTTCCAGATAGAGCTGGGAGCCAGAAGCCCTGGATTCAGGCCCTGGCCCTGCTTCCTCCACCCCCAAACCATCACTGTGACCCTCATGGGTCCACTTCCCCCTCAGGCCTCAGTTTCCACTTTTGTAAAACAATGGCCCTGGCTCTGCTTCCTCCGCCCACAAACCATCACTGTGACCCTGATGGGTCTACTTCCCCCTCAGGCCTCAGTTTCCACTTTTGTAAAACGAAGGCATCAGACCAGTGATTTAAGCTCCAAACCTTCTGTCTGAATCCAGGCACCCTCCCACTCTACCCTGTCCAACCCCTGCCCAGCATGCTGGATCCACGGGCCCCTGAGTGTCTATGGTTTCAGAGTCAGAGGCCTTATCTCTACTCCTGTCTCCTGCTTTCATAGCTGTTGCCTTTGAGGATTCTGTCATCCCCATTTTACAGGTGGGGAGATGGAGGCATGAGGCATTGAAGCCAATTGCTCAAGGTCACAGAGGGTGATTTGAAATCCAGGGCTCCCTCCTCTGGGCCCAGGAGAGCCGCAGAACTTAAGGGCACCTTCTTTCAGGAGAATCGCCAAGATCTTAAGTGGCCAGCCGTTCTCTATACAGATGTGGACTCCACATGAGGCAAGGGGCTGCCCAAGGTCACAGAGCAAGGCACTGACAGACCAGGGTCCTGAACCAAGCCTCCCTGCCCCCAGGCTCCACCCAGACAGGGGGCTGGCAACATGACCTGACTTTCTGCCCTGGTCCTGGGATCTCCCCAAGACTGGAGCCCACGTCCTGCCTCTAGCCGCTGCCCCCAGAAGCCCCCGAGCATCTAGGGCTGAGATGGGAAGAGTGAGCAGGAAGACAGGAAAGAAAGTTGAGGGCTGGCCACTTGCCCCCGGCCCTCTGGCCCTCCCCTACTGCTCTCCTCGTGCAGGGGGAGCGGCGGCGGTGGTGATGTAATGCACTCGGCTTTCGTCCCGGTGCCAATCTCAGAAGAGAGACGACAGATTGCGTGAGCCAAATTTGGCATCCTAGGGGGAGAGGCATGAAAAGTGGAGATGTGGAGGAGCAGAGAGGAGCCTGGGGTGGTGCAGGAGGAGCCCCCTGCCCTACAGCCCCGAGGTGCCTCCCCTCCCTCCCCTCAGGGCCCCCATCTCTTCCCCAGCTAGCCTGGCCCTGGGGCCTCCCCTCCTCACTCTGAGGGGCCAGCCTGGCTTCTCCCCGGACCCCTTGAGCCCGGCACTGCCAGGCCTACCCGCCACCCCCACCCCACACTGCTCCAGCTCTGTTTCCCACCGCCGCTAGTTTCCTGGTTACCATGTTGCCGGTTGTCATGTCGCTTACATGTCCTCGTGACTCAGTGGTCCCCGCAGAGGGGCCCCCTCCTCCTCACACCCCCCTTAGCACTCGCCCCCGCCTCCCCCAGATCCACATTAAGAACCAGCCCGCCCTGTAAGCCTACACTGTTCCTCCTCCCCTTCCTTCTTATCCTAAGCTAAGACATCTTCTCACAGCATCTCCCAGAGCTACTTCATTCTCTCTTTCGCAAATGTCTACGAACCTACTATGCTCCAGGCTGGCGCACGCGGCTTTCACAGACCTGACACAGTCTGGAAACTGCTCAACACCCTGATGAAGTCAGTATCATCATACCTATTCTCCAGTTGAAGAAACTGAGGTTCAGAGAGGTCAAGCCACCCACCCAAGGTCACCCAGCAGAAACTCAACCAGCTCTGCCTGGTCACAGCCACTCCAGAGGATTTTCTGAGAGAAGAGCTTTCTTTTCAAGGATAACCCAAAGGGCCATGAGGAATTGTACCCCAGATTCCCCCTCTAATCCTGGACACTCCTCCTTCGTCAGCTATTTCCGCCATATTCCCACTGCCCCACGCCCACCTCCACCCACTAGCTGTTCATCTCTCTTAAGGTAAAGTGAGTCTTTACTCCCATCTCCCCAGTGCTTTCCCCAGCCTGTGAACAGCCCACTGCTCATTGAGCCCAGGGCCCGCCTTGGAGGTCAC
Source organism: Homo sapiens (assembly GCF_000001405.40). NCBI lineage: Eukaryota > Metazoa > Chordata > Mammalia > Primates > Hominidae > Homo > Homo sapiens. The sequence continues at coordinate 38,453,641 of NC_000022.11, forward strand.
TGGGGCAGGGAGTGACGTCCCCATGCCACAGATGTGGAAGATGACGGTTGGGAGGAGAGTGACCAGCCCAGGGGGCTGCTCTCCCAGCCACCTGAGCTAATTTCTGGGAGGCTGAATGGAGGACATATGAGACCCACTGCCCAGTGTGGAACACCCCAGAAAGAGTCCCTCCTCCCAGTGAGAATGGAGTGGAATGTTCTAGGCTCAGCCCTTCCAACTCCAGTTGGGATATGGGTCAGTTCAGTGGCCAACAGTCTCTGTTCCCACCATGCTGCACCCATCTCTTACCCCAGCTGCCCTGGTCCACCTTTTGCTCCCCTCAGCACAGGCCAAGCCAGGGCCACAGTGAGGCTCTTGGGCCCCTAAAGTCCTGCTAACTGCCCCCAAAAGGCCTGAAGCCATGGAGGTCATGGGACTGGATGTGGGGGAGAACACACACACACACGGCTCCAACCCTTCTCTGGGCCTCCCTCCCTGAGTTCCCCACTTCCCCCAAACCTGCTGCTGAACATTCTACTGCTCTTGAGGCCCTGCTCTGTCAGCTGGCCAGGCTGCCCTGCCTCTAGCCCGCCGCTCCACCCCACCCAGCTTGCCACCTCCCAACTCCCTGCATCCTGTCCATCCTGAAGCAGGGACACTGGGGGCAGAAATGTGGGTAGGGGGCAGGGAGGCTGACACTGGTGGGGGGACATTTGGCAGGTTGCAGGGGAAGTTCTCCCTGCGGGAGGCTCATTGAGACCTCTCTTGCCTTGGGGTGCTCCCTACACACGGAGGAAAAAGCAGCCTCTGCCTCCCTCCCCAGCCTGTGTCTATCACTGTGAACGTGCAGTGCCTCCTCTACCAATCCCTGCCCCTGCGCCCTGGGGTCGTGTGGCGCCAAGTAGGTGCTCAAAACATGAGAAGTGAGATTTCGTTCTTCAGATCACAGGGCCATTTGCAACGAGGATGCAGCTGGGGAGGCGGAAAGGCGGCATCCCCCACCTTGCCACAAGTCACCTGCCTTGAAGCTCCCCGGCATGACAACTGGGGTGGGTGGAGGCAGGGAAAGGTCATGGCTGGGGCAGGAGGTCAAGACCCCTTCCACCCACCTCTCTCCCCCTTTCCAGGCCACAACCCAGACCGCGACGCTCCCAGACGGACAGACGGACAGAGCCCGCCCGTGGAGCCCGCCCGCTCCCGGGGAGTCACGGGACCGCGCGCGCGGCGCCGGGCAGCCGGGACCCGGCTCCGGATCAGGTGCGGAGCGGGCGGGGCCGGAGCGGCGGGCCCGGGACACACAGACACGCACGCGGCGGGACAAACTGACGGACAGCGCCCGGGGTGGGCGAGCGCGGCTTACCGCTGGGCGGAGGGTCCGACGAGAGTCCGGGAGGCGGCGAGCGGGCGCTACATCCCAAGGCGCGATCCGGCGGGCGGCGTCCCGGGCGCGGAAAGGGGAGTCCCGGCGCCCCCTGCCCGCGAACTCGGCCGGCCGGCCCGCGCTCCCCTCCCCGGCTGCCGCTCGGTCTGCGCGTGGGTCTTGGGGTCTCCGCGCGTCCCGGCCGTCCCGCGCCGCTCCCCGCGGGCCGCCCAACTTTCAGCGCTGCCCCGCGCCGCGCCCTCGGCGCCGCCTCGGCGTCAGCATCGTCGGGCCCGGCCGGGCTCACAGCGCGGGGGTCCGGGGGCCCGGGGCGCCCCGCCGCCCGCGCCCCCCACCCCCGCTGCAGGCGCCCTCCCCGCCGCCGTCCCCCGCTGCGCCCAGCTCCCTCGCTGTCACCCGCTCCTGCTCGCGCGCTCTGCCCCCGGCCCTGCGCTCCACTCCCGGCCCCGCTGCGCTCGGCCCCGGCCCCGCGACCCCTCGGCCTCCCGGCCTGGGGTCGCCCTCCCCGCCCCCGCCGGCCGGGCTCTGTCGCCACCTCCCCGACCGCTCTCGCGTCTCTCTCCTGCCGCCGGGGTCTCCGCCGCGCTCGCGTCCCGGTCCCTCTCCCGGCCTCCCTGCCTCCTGCGGCCCCGCTCGCCCTCTGCCCGCGGGGTCTCCGTCTCCGTCGCGGTCGCCCGCCGGCCTCCCCCCGCCTCCCTCTGCCCGCGCTGCCTCTCTCCCCTGCGCGTCTCTGTCCGTCTCCCTCGCGGCCCCTGTCCTTCTCTGTCTCTCCCCCTCCCACTCTCCGTGCGGCCCCCTCTGTCTCGGACCCCGGCCCCCGCCTTGGCCGCGTCCCCGGCTCGCCCGGGAGCCCGAGCTCCCGCCGCCCGCGGCGCGCCGAGAACTCCCAACTCGCGGCACGCCGCCCCGCTTTGCGAGACTTTCGCCCCTCCTCACACGTGACCCGCGCCCCACTGCGGAGGCCGCGCGCCCCCCAGCCCGGGAGCCCCGGCTGCCCGCGGGACCCCGCCCTGCCCGCCCCTCGGCCTAACCCGGCCTCAAGCCCCCTCCCGCGGGGCCCGCGGCGCGGAGCAGGGGCTGGGGCGGGGGGCTGCTGGCCCCGCTCCTGCCCTGGATCCTGCCCGGGTTTTCCTCCTCGCCCCAGGAGCGCTCCTCCCAGAACCCGTTCCTGGATCCGCTCCCGGGTTTTGTGCCCCCCCCCCAAAAGGGGGCAGGTGGAGAGGGTTCCTCCGAGCCGGGAAGGGGGGTGGGTGGGAGCTGGTCCCTCTGGGGTCCCACGGAGTCCGCCCCTCTCCTTAGCGGTCCTCGTACTCTCCCAAAGTACCGCCGGTCAAGGACCCGAAGCACCTCACTCTGGGAGTCTGAGGGGGCCCTATTGGAGGGACCCTCGCGATCACTCAGTCACCACTGCCCCATTTTACAGATGGCGAGACTGGGTACCAGAGAGGGTCAGAAACTCGGCCAAGGTCACCCAGAGATGACAAAGCCAGGCCAAACCCTAGTCTCTTATTCTCTGTCGCTCTCCATTACCCCAAGCTGTCAGGCCTGGGCCCCACACTCTGGGGTGTCAGGGAACCCCCAGCACCCACAGCACCTGTCTAGCCAGCTACATCCTGACCATCCTGCCACGTCACTCTAGCCCTCCGAGGAGACAGGAGGGAAAGTGCTCCTCCTTCCAGGGTGGTAGGACGAGAGAACACCTGCAGTTAGACAGCCAGCAAAACTTCCCTGGGAGTCTGGCCATCACCGACTAGCCCCATTACAGAGAGGGAGAGACCGAGGCACCCCAAAGCCAGGTGGAGAACTGATGAAATCTGAAATCCCCTCTGGCTCTCCTGAGCCTCGAGGATGTCAGCATAAGAACAGCAACACACAAACCACCACAAGTGTTTCCCTTCCTCGTGGGCTCTCCCTACTCAAAAGGATTCAGTCCCAACTCCTCAGTGTGGTATAGTCAGGCCCCACCTTATCCGGCATCCCACATCCCATAAATCCACAGGTACACCCTGATTCCACAGATTCCAGAACACGCCACAGGCCTCCACACCTCTCTGCCTGCACGCACTGTTCCTCCTCACTAAGATATCCTTCCACCTTTTTTGCCCAGAGAATTCCTGCTGTTCCCCAAGCCCAGCCTCAGTGCCACTTCCTTGAGAAGGCCTCCTGATGACCCCAGCAGAAGTCATTTATCACCCACTCATTCATTCAACCAGCACTAGGCACCCACCACATACCAGCCCCTGGGCGGGGCACAAGTATGGTTCTTGCTTAGTGGGATGAGGAGTCAGGCTAACCTAGGCTCAAAAGCACCTAGGAGCTACTTGACCTTGAACAAGTTTTTATTTAATCTGTCTGTAAATTGAGGACCCTAACGTCCTCCATTCCCAAGGGGTAGATTAAGTGAGGTGGATGCACAAGAAATACACAGATCATGGTAGGCGCTCAATAAATGTGGCCATCCTTTCTCACGGCTCTCTCCGACTGTGCAGACCTCCAGAACGCACGTCCTGTTCCACGCCTCTCCCTGGTTACCCTGCTGTGTCCTCACAGGCAGACAGCCAGGACTGATGTTCCATCACATGAATGCTCAGTGCGTGGATGCAGGGGAGACTCAAGCAGCCTGAGTGCCCTGTGGGCAAGAGATGTGTGCCTGGTCTTTTTCACCTTTTCTGTGGATGGAAAGTGGGAGGATGAGGGTGAGACAAATGACCTGCCTGGCCACGGGCCTGACCTGGTAGCCATCCTGGGAGTGTGGGGTGCAGGGAGAGGAGGAAGGGGCAGGAAGGAGGGGAAAATGCAGACAGAGATGTCTGTAGATCCAAAGCATCTACTGTCACAGAATCAGTCTCCTGATGCCAAGTCCCTGGGCACAAACTTGAAGATGGGATGGGGGCTCTGGGGCAAGGAGGGTTAGCTTGCCGGGCCTGGGCCGCACCCTGGGGCTGCTGTTCATCCTGCAAGGAGACTGGACTGGGAGGAGGTAGGGAGAGGCAAGCAGAGGAGCTCCAGGCAGGGAGAGGTTCGGAGGCCCCAGGAAAGAGCCCTTTCTCTCCTCTCCAGCCCTGTGTGACCCTGGGCAGCTCAACTCTCCTCTCTGGGCCTTTGTTTCCTCATATGTAAAATGAGAACTATAATACCCACTTTGAGCTTCGGGGTGTGTGTGTGTGTGTGTGTGTGTGTGTGTGTGTGTGTGTGTGTGTTTGTTGTTGTTGCTGTTTTTAGATAGGATCTGGCTCTGTTGCCCAGGCTGGAGTGCAGTGGCGCAATCTCAGCTCACTGCAACCTCCGCCTCCTGGGCTTAAGCCATCCTCCTACCTCAGCCTCCCGAGTAGCTGGGACCACAGGCATGTGCCACCATGCCAGGCTAATTTTTGTATTTTTTGTAGAGATGGGGTTTTGTCATGTTGTCCAGGCTAGTCTCAAACTCTTGAGTTCAAGCGATCCACCTTCCTTGGCCTCCCAAAGTGCTAGGATTACAGGTGTGAACCACCGCACGTGGTCGAGCAGCTGTTTTGAGGATAATCAAAGACTAAAGGAAGACTTCACATTGTTCACCTTCCGTGTGAGTAGCCTCTAGCCCTGTGTGAGGTTGGGGGCAGAGATGGAAATGGGCATGCAGAGGCCTGGGGGCAGTGTGAGGGAGTTGAGAAAAGTCTTGGGTGTCAGAACCTGTGTGACCCTGGGCAAGATGCGTGTCCTCTCTGGACCTCAGAGGCCTCGTCTGTAGTGGGACAGTGTGGACTAGGTCTCCCAAGGGTAAGTGGGCTTTGTCATGATCCACCACAGATGCGCCCCCCCACCAGACGGAATGAGGACAACCTGCTTCCCCTGCACTCGTACCCCTAGCTCAGCACTATCCAGACCTTCGCAGGGATTGTCTCCTTTGATTCTTGCAAGAATTCTCCAGGCACCTGTTACCAATGGGGAAACTGAGGCACGGGCAGTAATGCCATGAGTGGCAGGGCCGGTGTGGCCAGGAACAATGGTCTGGAGGAAGGAGGTTCGCTCTGAAGTTTGGAGGAGAATGCTTGTAAAACCTCTGTCCACCATACACTTTGGTAAAACGTCCTGGCCATCTCCATTCTCCATTCTCTCCTTTGATCCTCACAAGATCTCCGTGGGGTACGGGCTATGCCTGTCTTTACCTCACAGGTGAGGACTCTGAACTGACACACAGAGAGGGGAAGTGGCTTGTCTGGGGTCAGGCAGTAAGCAACTGTCTGGGCCAGGATTTGAACCAGGCTCAACTTCCACTTTCTGGGGAAAGGTCATTCCAGGCTAGCAGAGCACTCACTAACCGATTTACTGTGGGGTCCTGCTCACACCTCCTGGGTCCTACAGGGGCCCTGAGAGCCTGTGTAGAGGGCTGAGAGGAGTGGAAGGGAGGGCAACTTGGGCCAGGCAGGTGGACAGCTGGGGAGGAGACGGAAAAGGCCACTTCAAAATGCTAGAGTCACAGAGGCCAGAGGTTTTTGTCCTAGAGAGTGTCTTAAAGTTCAGCCAGGGCCGGGCGCGGTGGCTCACGCCTGTAATCCCAGCACTTTGTGAGGCCGAGGCGGGCAGATCACTTGAGGTCAGGTGTTTGAGGCCAGCCTGGCTAACATGGTGAAACCTCGACTCTACTAAAAATACAAAAATTAGCCAGGCACTGTGGTGCGCATCTGTAATCCAAGCTACTCGGGAGGCGAAGGCAGGAGAATCACTTGAACCCGGGAGGCAGAGGTTGCAGTGAGCTGAGATCGCGCCACTGCACTCCAGCCTGGGCTACAGAGCAAGACTCCATCTCAAAAAAAAAAAAAAAAAAAAAAAAAAAGGTCCAGCCAGCCCATTCTGCAGATGAGGCAAACTGAGGTAGCCCAGATACTTAGATTAGAAATCAGATCAGGACACAGCTGGCCTGCCTCGGAGCTCTAAAGTCCCAGGAGCTTCCAGGGGGTGAGGTCCAGAGGTGATTAAAGGGACACTGGGGGGCCAGAGGCCCAGAACCCATCCCAGCAGGCTGTGCCCTGGGGACAGAGGACTGTAGGGGTCTCTCCTGCCCTCCACCTCCACCCTCGCCCACCCCCCAGCACTCAGTAGTCACCAGGGTGGAATATTTTAGCACCTATAGAAAAACCGCCACAGACGGCCGTGGCAGCTGTTGCTAAGGAGACGCTCCCAAAATAGCCCCCCTCCGCCAACCTTTCCCGCTGCTGCTCCTGCTGTGGGGAGGGGAGGAGACCAGGCAGGGAGGGGGTGGCACATGAGTGTTCGCCCTAGGCTCACCCACCCACCCTGGCCCCTGGTGCCCACCCTGGCCCAAGACCTGGGCAGCCACAGGTCTGTGGAAGGGCAGGAGCTGTCCCATGCATGCCTGTGATCTCAGTCACAGTCCTCAGCTAGGGAAGAAGGTCACTCAGGTGATAGGAGAGGGGGGAGCAGAACCCCCGCACCCAAGACCCCCCAGCACACTCCCACACATACACAATTACAGGTTATCACAGTTCTCCACATCCACTGTACACACCACAAATACAGTCCCACGCATGCCCACCGAGGGGTACACACACATCAGCAAAGCTGCATCAGATGCACGGGTAAACGTCTGCCACAACTACACAACATCCACCTGCACACACACACCATGGAGCCGCAAAGACATGCTTTTATATCCACATATTCACACACCCATCCCAAATACACACGTACACCAATATATGCATGCCAGGCACACGGACACACACACACACCAGTGTACATATACCCTCACAGCACATGGACACACATATTCACAGATACACACAACTGTCCAAACACATGCCCAGCCTGTGGCATCTAAAGGGCAATCAGTTGTGTTACCCAGTAGACTCTGTCTGGGGTGCTGTGTCTTAGGGTTTCCAGAAATCCTTACTTAGTGGGGAACTTCTACAACCACAGGGCAGAGGGTAAGGAGGAGGTGGCAGGCAGGTGGATGAAGGGTTGTGTCTCTCTGAACCCCTTTAAGTCTGGGGACTAGATGATGACTGGTGCTCAGGAGAGCTGCCCTGGACCCACTTCTCGAAGGGGAAAGTGGAGTAGACTCTCACCCGCAGACTTGAAACTTCTGGGCACAGAGATTTCTGAGCCCCAGGGGCTGGGGCGATAAAGAGGACAAGATGGCAATTGGGTGGCAACTGTGATGGTCTGTGGCATGCGCAAGGCACGTTCCAGTTGGTGAGCCGCTTTCACACTCCATTATTTCACACGCTTGGTAACAGCTACTCTGAGATACTGGTGGAGGTGTCCCCATGTCTGAGTCTCAGAGAGGAGAGAGAACTCCACGACCACACAGTAAGTTACTAGCAGAGCTGGACCCATAACCCAAGGGGGTGCCAGCACCCAGCCCCAGTGCCTGGCACTTGGCTGCACTGCACGAACTTGGAAGGAGGCCACCGGGTGCAGGGCCTAGCTCTGCCCCTGATGAGCCCCGAGTTACTGGGGGGGCAGCCAGGCCCTCCATCTTCCCACCTGGAAAGCTGAGAATGAATCCCCAGGGGTGTTTTCAAGCAGCGGCTTGTGGCCACCGTCAGGGCTGGGGAGTGGTGTTTGCCGGAAGTCCTCGGAATGCCAGCGCAAGGACGAAGGGTGGCCCAGCCTCTCCCCTCCTCGTTTGGCCAGCCGCGGTCTCTCTCCAGCCTCGCTCTGTGACTCCTGAATCCGGGCTCCGGGTCTTCGTTCGCGCCTCGTCACTCTGGAGACGCTGCGAGCGGCTTGCGGTTGCCGTAGGAACCTCGCCAGGGCCTCCGCGAGGCGCACGACTCCGCGCGCTGAGAGCCGCGTTTTGGTCACCGAGAGACACCTGTCGCCAGCGGCGAGGGGTGGGGGCGTCGCGGCCCGGGTTATTATGCTTTTCTTTTTAATTGAGGTGTAACTTACAAATAGTACAGCGAACATCTTAAAAGTACAGCTCTGCGGGGCGCGGTGGCGCACGCCTGTAATCCAGCACTTTGGGAGGCCGAGGCGGGAGGCTCACTTGAGCCCAGGAGTTCGAGACCAGCCTGGGCAACATAGCGAGACCCTGTCTTTTAGAAAAAAATAACAGTGTAATGGCGTGCACCTGTAGTCCCAGCTACTCGGGAGGCCGAGCCGGGAGAATGGCTTGAGCCCAGGAGTTCGAGGCTGCAGTGAGCTATCATTCCTGTCACTGCACTCCTCCTCCAGCCTGAGCAACAAGGCGAGACCCTGTCTCTTAAAAAGAAAAAAAAAGGTACAGCTCGATTAATTTTTCAGACATACTCATAAAACTCGTGTTACCACCACCATGATCAAGACACAGAAGACTTCCAGGCCCTAGAAGTCTCACATCTTCAGGAATAAACCAGTGAGGGAGAGGTCACCATCTGAAACCCTGGAGTTGTCTGTTTTTGCCCCTCTCTGCTCTGGCAGACCCTCTTTGGGCCTCAGTTGCCTGTGAAGGGAAGCAAGGAGCTGAGGTGACGTGCATTGCGTGGTTTATATCTTGCAAATCGCTTTAGATATTTAGCTAACTTTAACCCGGATAACTATTGTATGAGGTCGGTACTTGGTTTATACCCAGGTTAATGATGTGAACACTATAACTTGGAGAGATTAGCTAGTCTAAATTCAGATAGCTCTTAGGTGGTGGAGTTTGAGGGCCTAACTCATCTGTCTAACCTTAATGCTCATCTTTTCCTTCTTCCCTTCCTTGGCCTCTACAGGCCGGGCGCGGTGGCTCACGCCTGTAATCCCAGCACTTTGGGAGGCCGAGGCAGGTGGATCACCTGATGTAAGGACTTAAGAGACCCGCCTGACCAACATGGTGAAACCCTGTCTCTACTAAAAATCCAAAAATTAGCCGGGCGTGGTGGCAGGCGCCTGTAATCCCAGCTACTCCGGAGGCTGAGGCAGGAGAATCGCTTGAACCCGGGAGGTGGAGGTTGCAGTAAACTGAGATCGCACCACTGCACTCCAGCCTGGGTGAGAGAGTGAGACTCCGTCTGAAAATAATAATAATAATAAATAATAATGAATGGTACAAGTAAAAGGCACTGAGGGGCGGGGGGGCAGGCCACGTCTTATCTCCTCGCCTTTGTGCAATTAGTACCTTCTACTGGGGACTCTCTTCTCTTCCCCAAGGTTTTGTCTCCGAGGCAAGCTCCTACACACCCTCCAAAGCCCACTAGAGCATCATTTGCCCTAAAGCCTTCTTTAAGAGCAGTCCTCCCAGGGACTCCCTCCAACAGACAGTGATTGCCATTTTTCCTCTGTGCGGTCCAGTCCGTGCACAGGCACCCACCTCCCACAGCACCAGAAAGGCCCCTGGAGGCTGCACCTAAGTTCAACCCTCAAGGCGCCTGGTGCCCAGCTGGTCTTCAGTAAATGTGTTTGTAACTAAAACGGGAAGAGAGGTTTTGAACCTTGGTGTTTATAACCTTGGTGTGTCAGTAAAATGCGGCCCGCTGCCCCTGCCTCCTGTCACTCAAAATATATTGAGCTGGGGAAAGAGCTTCCCGAACACCTGGGGTGGAACCGCAGGGAGAGGAAGGCTGGGCCCACCCCGCACTCGGTTAGGAAATGGACTCGTCCGCGCCTCCGGGCGGGCGGGACCTCAGGGGCTGCCTGGGAAGAGGTCATTCCTTCCACGGGGGAGCGTCCACTCGCCTAGGCCAGAGGAAGACTTGGCGGCCTAGAGGAAGCTCTAGGGAGCCCCGGAAGCCCGGGACATAGCTTTCCTTCCAGGCCCCTGCCCGGTGAGAGACAGCCAATTAAGTGGAGTGATTTTCACTTTACACCCCTATTTCCTTCCACACAGAATTGGAGGCAGTTTGCAGGATATTCCAAACAGTGGTGAAATATAAGAAAGGGCTAGGACCAGAAAAAGAGAGCGAGCGAGAGAGATTATATATACCTATTTTTAAAAAATAATTGAGCAAGTCCCCCATTCTCTCTTCCATAAATCTGACTTTGAACGTAGAATTTGCTTTGTTAAGTGAGAAGAAAACAGTCCTTGCCCTTTGAGCTAAAGGAAATTTCCCTCTTTGCTTTCCCCTGCAGCAGGCACATTTTTGAGTGTTGGGAAATTGAGGCTCAGAGACGTGAGGGACTTGCTGGAATCCACCCAGCAGCAGGGACAGATCGTGAATGACCATGCAGGTGGCCAGAGTGCTGGCAGGGGCTAGAGCCAAATGTTTTCCGTGAGTAAAGGGTTTCCCCTTTTCTCCATGGGGAGCTTTGAAAGTCTCCACCTGGGAGCCTAGTGGGCACAAAAGAGGTGGGGCTAATTACTGTGGACAGAGCCTTAGGACTTTGGGGAGAGGAGAGCCATGTGACTGACCTTGGGGAGCAAGAGACAAATTTGAGCCCCGATTTCCTCATCTGTAAAATAAGGACATAGTATCCATTTCATAGGGACATCAGGAAAACTGGATGCAAAGAGCAATGGCTAAGCACCTGCAATACTTCATTTCTTTTTGAGACAGGGTCTCACTGTCACCCACGCCCAGTTTCAAGTAGAGTAGCGCAATCTCAGTTCACTGCAACCTTGACCTCCCAGGCTCAGGTGATCCTCCCAACTCAGCCTCTCAAGAAGCTGTAACTATAGGCACGTGCTACCACGCCTGGCTAATTTGTGTGTGTGTTTTTTTTTTTTTTTTTTTTGAGACGGAGTCTCACTCTGTCACCCAGGCTGGAGTGCAGTGGCCTGGTGTTGGCTCACTGCAACCTCTGCCTCCTGGGTTCAAGCGATTCTCCTGCCTCAGCCTCCCAAGTAGCTTGGATTACAGGCGCTCGCCACTAATCCGGCTAATCTTTGTATTTTTAGTAGAGACGGGGTTTCACCATATTGGTCAGGCTGGTCTCGAACTCCTGACCTCAGGTGATCCGCCCACCTCAGCCTCCCAAAGTGCTGAGATTACAGGCGTGAGCCACTGTGCCTGGCCATAATTTTTGTCTTTTTTTTTTTTTTTTTTTTGTAGCAATAGAGTTTCACCAGGTCGCCCAGGTTTGTCTCAAACTCCTGGGCTCAAGAGATTTGCCCACCTGGCCTCCCAAAGTGCTGAGGTTACAGGCATGAGCCACTGCGCCTGGCCTCTTTTTAGTTTTTTCTTTTTGAGACAAGGTCTCACTCTGTCACTTAGTTTGGAATACAGTGATGTAATCATAGCTCACTGCCGCGTTCAACTCCTGGGCTCAAGCGATCCTCCTGCTTCAGCGTCTCAAGTAGCTGGAGCCACAGGTTTGTCACCATGCCCGGCTAATCTTTTTTTTATTTTCTGTTTTCTTAATTTTTTGTAGAGACAAGTCTTGCTGTGTTGCCTTGACTGGTCTTGTACTCCTGGCCTCAAGTGATCCCCCTGCCTCTGCCTCCCAAAGTGCTGGGATTACAGGTGTGAACCACCGTGACTGGCCTACATCTGTCTTTATTTTTCCCATTTATCAGATGAGAAAGCTGAGGCCCAGAGAGGGGACGTGGCAGGCTCAAGGCCACAGTGGCAGGCCTGGGACAAGGTCTAGCCCCTGGAGCCATTCAGCTTGGGTTCCTTCCCCTCCAGCACCACGGTCCCTCCTCAGACTCTCCCTGGCCTTGGCCAGTTTCCCTGTGGTCTTGAGGAAATAAAGGGAAGGGGAGGATCCAGCCTCATTCCAGCCCCACGTCCCCCCCAACACACACAGTGGGGGCTGCTTCCCAGGAGGACAGATGTTTTCACCAAATGGCACTTGCACGTGCTTTTCTCTGGCTTGGGGAGGAGGTGGGCGCTGAGAAGGAAATGCCAGCTGGTTGGGCAGAGACAACCGCAGCCACACCTGAGGGATTTAAATAGCCTCCGCCTTCTCTGGGCACCGGCTGAGGAGGAGGCATCTGGGCAGGGTTGGAGGGGAGCGGGGAACAGAAGGGCCATTCGGAACCTGCCGCAGCTCAGGGATGAGCGCCTGGCTCCTCCTCCCAGAGGGACCTGGTCTAGGCACCTCACCTCCCTGGACCTCGAGGTTCATCCCCTGCAAAGCGAGGCTCTGAAGGCCGCTGAACCACGTGCCTGTTGATGGAAAGAACCTGAGTAACAGGCCTGACCCATGCCTGGCACCCAGATGCTCAGTACTTGACGGCTATTGGGGTCACCACCTCCCTGCCAGGGCAGGAGGGCCTGCTGCTGAGTCTCTGACAAATGAGCGTCCACCGGCCGCTCACCCACCTCTCGCGACAGGGTGCTCATCACCTGCCATGGCAACCCACAGTGTAAGGGAATGATTTCATGGTAGACCGTGTGTTGGAATCTGGGCTACAGGACTGCTTGGTGTCTGTGTGACCTCAAGCAAGTTATTTAGCCTCCCTGCCTCGCTTTCCCCATGTGTGAAATGAGAATGAGGCCACTGCTTCCTCACAGTGCTGTTTAGATGAGTGCCTTTGGAACTTTACAGTTAAACACGATCCCCAGGGGATTCGTGTGCACATCGGAGTCTGATTCACCCGGGAATGCCTGGGGAGGGGCTGAGATTCTGCATTCCCAACAAGCGGTAGCAATGCTGCTGGTCTTTGGACTGCGTTTGGGGTCTCAAAGGACTGCCTTGGCTGGGCGCGGTGGTTCACGCCTGTAATCCCCGCACTTTGGGAGGCTGAGGCAGGCAAATCATCTGAGGTCAGGAGTTCGAGACCAGCCTGGCCAACATGGTGAAACCCCATCTCTACTAAGAATACAAAAATTAGCCTGGCGTGGTGGCGGGCGCCTGTAATCCCAGCTACTTGGGAGGCTGAGGCATGAGAATCGCCTGAACCAGGGAGGCAGAGATTGCAGTGAGCAGAGATTGTGCCACTGCACCCCAGCCTGGGCCACAGAGCGAGACTCTGTCTCAAAAAAAAAAGGACTGCCTTTCCCTGGGAGGAAAAGTAGGGAAAGTAGGGGGCATAGGGAGCCATAGAAGGGTCTTGACCACTGAAGTGACAGATTTTTATCACAGAAAAGAGGCTGGCCATAGTGGCTTATGCCTGTAATCCCAGCATTTGGAAGGCTGAGGCAGGCAGATGGCCTGAGCACAAGAGTTCGAGACTAGCCTGGGCAACACAGTGAGACCCCATCTCTGTTTAAATACATTTGTCATGGAAAAGCCTCTCTGGTTATCTGTGGCAGGAGGTGGGAGTGGGAGGAGGTCCGTTATTTAGAGAGAGATGAGGGCGCTGAATGGGAGGAGGGCTTATTCAGGTCAAGGAGGGGAGGCTAAGGGCCCTCAGCTCACCTGGTCCACTCTTTCAGACGCAGAGACTTATATCCAGAGGGGGTGGTGGACCTGCTCAGACCACACAGCCCTGGGAGGACTCCCTCCCACCAGGGACCCTTCACTCCCCACCCTTCCTGGTGCTCAGCCCTCCTGGGTCTCTCCTGTCCTGTGTGTCCCTGTTTAACATCCTAGTAACACCAAGAAGAGGGAAGGCACGAACGAGGGCCCTGGATCTCCCTGACCAGCTTGACCTCCTGCCTACCCACAACAACCCGATTTTACAGGTGAGAAAATTGAGACCAAGAGAGAGGAAGGCCCACCGACCCAGGCTGCAGCCGAGGTCAGTCTGATTCTGCTGCTGAGTGGTGTGCCATTACCATTGTCCACCTGCAGCAAGATCGGGTCCCGACCGGGTGGACAACCAAATTAACAGACGGAGGTGGGGACTCCGCTTCCGGCTCGCCCCGCCCCACCCCACTCTCCCAGGGAGGGAGCTCCAGCTCCGGGAAGATGAGGACAATAGCAGGAATCGCCCCACAGGGTACTTCCACGTGCTGGCTCCTGCCAAGCGCTGGCACCAGTGTTATGGGGCCTGTGTACAGATGAGGAAACTGAGGCAGAGATTGGGGCTTGGTGGCAGGCCTCCAGTTTCTGCGGAGGGAAGGCAGAGGGCACTTGGGGCATGGGCGACATGGGTCGTGGCGGGCACCCGGCGCACACGGCAGCCGGGCGCAGGCCAGAAGCCCCCCCGCGTCGCCGGGCCGCCCAGTCCGGGAGCCGGGCGCTGGGATGGGCGGGAGGCGGGATCTCCGGGCCGCGCCGCTTCCTGGCTCCCCACCCTGCGCCGGCGGCCGCCCTGGCCACGTCACCGCCCGGCCAAGAGTGCGTGGGCGGCGGCGCGCGGGTGCGATCGCGGAGCTGTGAGGCGCAGGCAGGGCTCTGGGGCACCTAGAGACCGGGGCCGGAGACGTGGCAGCCGCCCTGCCCGCCAGAAAGTTTCCTAGAAGTTTGCTGGGCGCGGGCGCACGACTGACTGGCTGGACCATGAACGTGTTCCGAATCCTCGGCGACCTGAGCCACCTCCTGGCCATGATCTTGCTGCTGGGGAAGATCTGGAGGTCCAAGTGCTGCAAGGGTGAGGGGCGCCTGGCAGGGAGGTGCGGGACCCCCTCTCTGGCCAGCCTCATGCCCCTGCGTGCAGGGCAGGGCGCTCCAGGTGTCTGCTCAGGGTGGGGACTCCGGCGTGGGGGTCCTTGAAACTTTGCGGAGCTCCACTTCCAAAAACAATGTAAAGTTGTATAAAATCAGAGGAGGAGGACCCCTCGAGATGATGGGAGGCGGGTGGGTTTGTTCCTGCACAGACGCCCCCTCAGGTTGGCAGTGTCACTGCTGGTTGGAAGAGGGGGTTATAAGGGAGGTGACAACCCCTCCCTCCCACCAGTTACACCCATTGTTCCTTCCACCATCGACTGTGGGGAGAAGCAGATATGCACTCAGGAACGGCCCACGATTCTCAAGGTCTTCTCTTCCCTGCCCCTTCCCAGACCCCACCCCGCCCCCCAAAGTGAGCCCTCGTCCCTCCCCTGCCTGCATGTGTGGCACCGGTGGCTGTGATGTGGCAGGAGGGCACCAGCCGGGCTCAGGCGGGTATGGAGCTGCCTCTAAACGGAAGCCGGGGAAGGCTGGAGGGGTCCCCTGTTTGCATTCTGGCTGCCCTGCTGGGGGTTTGGAGAAGCTTGGAGGCTGGACTCGCGGTCGCCAACAGATCCAGAGCCACGAAAGGCTGCCAGAGCCTCCTCCAGCCATCTTTGTCCACCGGCATCCTCGTGGTGCCCTCCCTGTGCCTGGCACTGGGTGTGCAGAGGCAGGAGTGAGCTCAGGCTCCTCGTGGGGCTGAGGAGGCTGAGAAGGCTGAGAGTGGGCCCCGAAGGCCCTGTGGAAGGAGCAGCTCCGTGCTGGTCCCGGAGGACGAGCAGGTGTCAATCCAGGAAGTGTGTGCTGTGGAGGGCTCCGGGGATGAAGAGGCATGGAGGTCACCAAGCACCGGGCATCCCCCGGGAAGGGTGGGCAGCCAGATTTGGGGTGGTCTGGAGGGAGATGAGTCCAGGAGGGAGGCTGGTCCAGATGTGAAAGGGCCTTTTCTGCCAGGCCAGGGAGTTGGGTCTGGGGAGCCCTTCATGGTTTGGGAGCCGGGAAGGGGCCTGGAAGGGGGCCTGAACAGGTTGCTTTGCAAGCTTTGAGAGAAAAGGCACAGAGCAGGGGGAGGCCTGGCAGGGTGGGGGTTGGTGCAGACATGAGCAACAGTACGGTGTGGAGGGAGTGGTTCTAGGCCTGGAGGCCATTTGGGTTTGGGGTCTCTGGAGAGACAGGTACAGAGACAGTTCAGGTTCTTCCTCAGGGGAGGTGGCCAGGAATGCTGAGTGGGGGACCCGGAGCAGCAGGCCCTGGTGAGGGGAGAATCAGCTCCAACCTCTTCCTGCACTTTTGCAGAAGGCCCTGCACGGAGTGAGCAACCATGACCAAGAGGGGACACTGGTACCTGGCCGCTGTCTGCCAGACACTGCTGGGCACCTAGAATACAGCCCGGACAGCAGAGGCCCAGCCCTGGTGGAGCTGACTTTCTTTTATTTATTTTTTATTTTTATTTTTTAACAGAGTTTCGCTTTGTCCCTGAAGCTGAAGTACTGTGGTGTGATCTCGGCTCACTGCAACCTCCACCTCCCAGGTTCAAGCGATTCTCCTGCCTCAGCCTCCTGAGTAGCTGGGATTACAGGCACGCACCACCACACCCGGCTAATTTTTGTATTTTTAGTAGAGACGGGGTTTCGCCATGTTGGCCAGGCTGGTCTTGAACGCCTGACCTCAGGTGATTCACCCACCTCGGCCTCCGAAAGTGCTGGTGCTGGGATTGTAGGCGTGGGCCACTGCGCCCACTTCTTTTTTTTTTTTTTTGAGACAGAGTTTTGTTCTATCCCCTAGGCTGGAGTGCAGTGGCGCAATCTCGGCTCACTGCAACCTCTGCCTCCCAGGTTCAAGCTATTCTCCTGCTTCAGCCTTCCAAGTAGCTGGGATTACAGACGCCCGCCATCACACTCAGCTAATTTTTGTATTTTTAGTAGAGACGGGGTTTCGCCATATTGGCCAGGCTGGTCTCGAACTCCTGGGCTCGAGTCACAGGTGTGAGCCACCATGCCCGGCCAAGTGGTGGACCTGACTTTCTAGTGGTAGGAAGCCATCAATAAACAATAGTCCTAGGAAACTGAGCAAATGACACGGTTTGTTGGAGGCCATAGTGAGTACTATGGGAACAGAAAAAGGGCAGCTGGGTGGCAGGGATGGGCCTGTGTGTGCACAGAGAGAAGTCAGAGGTGATGGAGGCAGGGCCTGGTATGACCTCAACAGACCCAGCCCCAAAGACCAGAGACTTGGGCTTCACTCTCACTCCTCCCCTTGACTCGCTGTGTGACCCTGGGCCTGTGTTTTCCCATTTGTCAAATGGGAGTGAGGGCTGCCCCTGGCAGTGGGGTCCACCTATGCTTAGTGGACCCCGGAGGGACTCTGGCCAGTCCAGGCTCACATTGTCCTCTGTGTCCCGGGTCTCCATGTGCAGCTTCCTGGTGGAAATGATTGTTTTCAAAAGTGTGAAAACTATTGTGCTCAAGATCACCGGGGGGCTGGGCACAGTGGCTCACACCTGTAATCCCAGCACTTTGGGATGCCAAGGCGGGTAGATCACATGAGGTCAGGAGTTCAAGACCAGCCTGGCACGTGGCGAAACCCCGTCTCCACTAAAAATACAAAAAAATTATCTGAGTATGGTGGCAGGTGCCTGTAATCCCAGCTACTCATGAGGCTGAGGCAGGAGAATCGCTTGAACCTGGGAGGCGGAGGTTGCAGTGAGCTGAGATTGCACCATTGCACTCCAGCCTGGGCAACAAGAGCAGAACTCTGTCTCAAACAAACAAACAAGCAAAACAAAACTGAAGATCACAAGGGTTCCCAAAGTGCTAAGGAAAATGTGAGTAAAACCCAGGGGACTGGCAGGCTGAGGATGAAGAGAAAAGAGGGGTAGGGGAAGGCCCAAGCGGGTGACCAAGCGTCCCCCACCAGGGCTGCCTCCCAGGCAGTCCTTCGTGGGGCTGAGGGCTTCTCTGTCAAAGTCTGTGTGAGGGCTCAGTGAGATGAACATCAGGCCATCCCAGAGCTGGCCTCAGGTCAGTATGGCCTCCCCCAGTGGGGTTCATTACCCACTGCCAGCCCCACTGTTGCCCTCACCCCGGCTAGTGCACGTGCGCGCGTGCTAGACCCCCCAGAGGGACTCAGGTTCTCACTGAGCACTGTGTATTCCTCAGCTCAGTCCTGCCACTCTGCATGAGGGGCCGTTTGGCAGGTGAGGAATGTGAGACCGAGGCTCGCCCTAAAGCCAGCACATTCTCCAGAATGTTAGGGACTTCAGGGGTGTTCCTTCTTGCTCATTAAAAATGTTCCCCCAGGCTGGGTGCAGTGGCTTACCCATGTAATCCCAGCACTTTGGGAAGCTGAGGCAGGAGGATCACCTGAGCCCAGGAATTTGAGACCAGCTTGGGCAACATGGCAAAATCTTGTCTCTAGAAAAAATATAAAAATTAGCTGGGCATGGTAGCATGTGCCTGTAGTCCCAGCTACTCAGGAGGCTAAGGTAGGGGGGTCATCCGAGCCTGGGAGGTTGAGGCTGCAGTGATCTGTGATTGTGTCACTGCACTCCAGCCTGGGTGACAGAGTGAGACCCTGCCTCACAAAAAAAGAAAAAAAAATGTTCTCCCACCCCAAATGTCTGGAACCAGAGGGATGGTTAGAGAAGGCACAGTTCAGGGGTACAGGGGAACCAGACCCTGAATTAGACAGCACAGTAGTTCCCCCTTATCCACGGAGGATATGTTCCAAGACTGCCAGTGGATGCCTGAAACCACGGGTTAAACCAAACCCTATATATATACTGTTTCTTCCATCTGATAACCAAGACTGCTGTCCGGGCACAGTGGCTTACGCCTGTAATCCCAGCACTTTGGGAGGCCGAAGTGGGCAGTCACTTGAGGTCAGGAGTTCGAGACCAGCCTGGCCAACACGGTGAAAACCCATCTCTACTAAAAACACAAAAATTAGCCGGGCATGATGGTGGGCGCCTGTAATCCCAGCCACCCGGGAGGCTGAGGCAGGAGAATGACTTGAACCCGGGAGGCAGACGTTGCAGTGAGTCGAGATCGCACCACTGCACTCCAGCCTGGGTGACAGAGTGAGACTCTGTCTCAAAAAATAAATAAATAAATAAAAAGTGGCCAAAGGACACTAAGGAGCATGACAACAAAATGCAGCATGGATTCCGGGATGGAATCCAGGAATGGAAAAAGGGCAGCAGTGGGAAAACTGGTGAAATCAGAATAAAGCCTGGAGTTCAGTCAACAGTGCTCTACTGATGTTGATTTCTTTGTTTTGATAAAGTACTGTCACTAAATACGATGTTTTTTTGTTTTGTTTTGTTTTGTTTTTTAAGACAGAGTTTTGCTCTTGTTGCCCAGGCTGGAGTGCAATGGCACGATCTCGGCTCACTGCAACCTCCACCTCCTGGGTTCAAGCGATTCTCCTGCCTCAGCCTCCCAAGTAGCTGGGGTTACAGGCATGAGCCACCACACCTGGCTAATTTTGTATTTTTTAGTGGAGATGGGGTTTCTCCAAGTTGGTCAGGCTTGGTCTCAAACTCCCAACCTCAGGTGATCTGCCCGCCTCGGCCTCCCAAAGTGTTGGATTACAGGCATGAGCCACCGCCCCCGGCCCAAATACGATGTTAACACTAGATATAGCTGGATATGTGGGATTCTCTGTACTGTCTTTACAACTCTGTTGTAAATCTAACATTCTTTCAAAATAAAAAGTTAAAAAAAGAAAGAGACCAAAGTGGGTCAAGAAACAGCATTTAGACTGGGCGCGGTGGCTCACGCCTATAATCCCAACACTGAGAGAATGAGGTAGGAGGATCACTTGGGCCCAGGAGTTTGAGACCAGGCTGGGCGACATAGTGAAACTCTGTCTCTACAAAAATAATAATAATAATAATTAATAATAAAATTTGCCAGTCTGATGGTTTGTGTCTGTAGTTACCAGCTACTCGGGAGGCTGAGATAGGAGAATTGTTTGAGTCCAGGAGATAGAGGCTGCAGTGAGCTATGATTGCACCACTGCACCCCAGCCTGGGAGACAGAGTAAGACCCTTTCTCTAAAAAGAAAAAAATAAAAAAGAAAGAAACATCATGGAGAGTATGAACCCTTTTTTGTCAACTCAGTGCATCCATGTGCATCATATGTGTACACATAGGTGTCATGTGTGTACATGTTCACAAAGATATGGAAGGATGAACACTAGGGGTTTGGAATATTTTTATCTTTGCATCTTTGTATATTGTTTGATTTTTGTTTTGCAAAGAGTAAATATAGGCATAACTTTTGTAACTAGAAAAAAGGCTTTTTGGCTGGGCGTGGTGGGTCATGCCTGTAATCCCAGCACTTTGGGAGGCCAAGGCGGGCAGATCACTTGAAGTCAGAAGTTTGAGACCAGCCATGACCAACCTGGCGAAACTCCGTCTCTACTAAAAATTCAAAAATTAGCCAGGCGTGGTGGCAGGCACCTGTAATCCCAGCTACTTCGGAGGCTGAGGCAGGAGAATCACTTGAACCCAGGAGGCAGAGGTTGTGGTGAGCCGAGATCACGCCACTGCACTCCAGCCTGGGCAACAGAGTGAGACTCCATCTCAAAAAAAGAAAAAAGAAAAAAGAAAAAAGGCTTTTTAAATCTTACAGTTTGAAAAATAAAATAGAATGCTCCCCTGGCCCTGAACCTTCCTCTGCCTGCTCTGGTCTCCCTGGTGAATCAACACCTTGTAAAGTCAGTGAGTTGTTCCTCCTAAGACTGAGCTTTGGGGACTGTCAGTGGAACTCTGGGGGTGGAGTGAAGAGAAGCCTCAACAACCCCCACCAAGCCCGACTCACACCACCCCCGACATCCTCCCCAGAGCAAGAGCCCAGGCAGGCACACGCAGGGGGACTGGGAACTCGGTGTTCGTGTCTTTATTTGGAGACTGGGAGACAGATTACAGTTTAATGAGAGGAACGACGACTCAAGTGATCCGATGGGAAGGGTGAGTTTCCTGGCCCTTAGGGAGCGACAGTGCCCTGGACAGGAGGTCTTTGAGTGGGAGTGGACACTCTAGAGGCCTCCCCAGCTCCAGGCTGTGCACCTCTTGAGGGTGGGCAGGCTTGGGAGTCTGTGTCCTCATTGTCTCCTGTCTACCCTTGGCCACAGGCATCTCTGGGAAGAGCCAGATCCTGTTTGCTCTCGTCTTCACCACCAGGTACCTGGACCTGTTCACCAACTTCATCTCCATCTACAACACAGTAATGAAGGTGAGGGGCTGGGTGATGATGGTTGGGGGAAGCCACCAAGCCCCCACAAACTGTGAGGTAGCCTGCTTGGAAACTCATTCTGTGGAGCCAGGCCGACCTGGGTTTGAATCCTGACTTTGCTGCTTAGTGGCTGCAAGACCTCATCTTGGGCCTCTTTGTATGTCAGTGTCCTCGTGCAAAAATGAGGACAGGGCTGGGCACTGTGGCTCATGCCTGTAATCCCAGCAATTTGGGAGGCCGAGTCGGGCGGATGGAGACCATCCTGGCTAACAAGGTGAAACCCTGTCTCTACTAAAAATACAAAAAATTAGCCGGGCGTGGTGGCTCATGCCTGCAGTCCCAGCTACTCAGGAGGCTGAGGCAGGAGAGTTGCTTGAACTTGGGAGGCGGAGGTTGCAGTGAGCCGAGATCGCGCCACTGCACTCCACCCTGGGTGACAGAGTGAGACTCTGTCTCAAAAAAAAAAAAAAAAAAAAAAAAAAGACAGTACCATTACTTAGCTCAGAGGGTTTGGTTGGGAACATTAAATGAGATAATAAATGTAAATGTAAAAAACCCTGCCATATATTAAACATTCAATAAAGGGTCACACCTGTAATCCCAGCACTTTGGGAGGCCAAGGCGAGAGGACCGCTTGAGCTCAGGAGTCTGAGACCAGCCTGGGCAATGCAGTGAGACTCCGCCTCTACATAAAATTTAAGAAATTTAGCTGGGCGTAGTGGTGCTCATCTGTGGTCCCAGCTACTCAGGAGGCTGAGGTGGGACAATCACCTGATCTTGGTAGATCAAGGCTGCAGTGAGCCATGATCATGCCACTGTACTCCAGTCTGGGCAACAGAGTGAGATCCCGTCTCAAGAAAAAAAAAATTATTTAGGTGATAGAGAAGGATTAGAGAGCTACTTCAGGGAGTGTGGTCAGGGCATCTTCAAAGAGATGACATGTAAGCTGACAGCTTAGTGACAACAAGGAACCAGCCATGTAAAGATCAAAGGACACACCTTCTTTCTGTTTTTTTAAGACGGAGTCTCACTGTTTTCTGTTGCCCAGGCTGGAGTGCAGCAGCGCAATCTCAGCTCACTGCAGCCTCCACCTCCTGGTTTCAAGCCGGGAGCTTGCCTTGTGCCTCAGCCTCCCAAGTAGCTGGGACTACAGGCATGTGCCACCATGTCCAGCTAATTTTTGTATTTTTAGGAGAGACAGGGTTTCTCCATGTTGGCCAGGCTGGTCTCACGCTCCTGACCTCAAGTGGTCCACCCACCTCGACCTCCCAAAGTGCTGGGATTATGGGTGTGAGCCACCATGCCCAGCCAAGATGTAGATTTTAGTTGGACACATTATCTAATAGGAATCTTATTTCTTGTGCAGTGGTGCGATCATGGCTCACTGCCTCAACTTCCCGGGCTGAAGGGGTCCTCCCACCTCAGACTCCTGAGTAGCTGGGACTACAGGCACGCACCACCATGCCTGGCTAATTTTTTTGTATTTTTAATAGAGACAAGATTTCACCATGTTGCCCAGGCTGGTCTCAAACCCCTGGGCTCAAGTGATCTGCCTGTGTCAGTCTCCCGAAGTTCTGGAATTACCATGATCAGCTAGGAGTCTTTTTTTTTTTTGAGACGGAGTCTCGCTCTGTCGCCCAGGCTGGAGTGCAGTGGGGCAATCTCGGCTCACTGCAAGCTCCGCCTCCCGGGTTCACGCCATTCTCCTGCCTCAGCCTCCCGAGTAGCTGGGACTACAGGCGCCTGCCACTGCGCCCAGCTAAGTTTTGTATTTTTAGTAGAGACAGGGTTTCACCTTATTAGCCAGGATGGTCTCGATCTCCTGACCTTGTTATCTGCCCGCCTCGGCCTCCCGAAGTGCTGGGATTACAGGTGTGAGCCATTGCGCCCGGCCAGGAGTCTTCTTTTTTGTTGTTGTTGAAATGGAGTCTTGCACTGTGGCTCAGGCTGGGGTGCAGTGGTGCAATCTCGGCTCACTGCAACCTCTGCCTCCTGGATTCAAGCAATTCTCCTACCTCAGCCTCCAGAGTAGCTGGGATTACAGGCACCCACCACCACGCCCGGCTACTTTTTGTATTTTTTGATAGAGACGGGGTTTCACTATGTTGGCCAGGCTGGTCTCAAACTCCTGACCTCGTGATCTGCCCACCTTGGCCCCCCAAAGTGTTGGAATTACAGGCGTGAGCCACCACACCTGGCCCCCCCTTTTTTTTTTTTTTTTGAGACAGAGTGGAGTGCAGTGGCACGATCTTGGCTCACTGCAGTCTCTGCTCCCGGGTTCAAGTTATTTATTTATTTATTGTTTAGACAGAATCTAGCTCTGTCGCCCAGGGTGGAGTGCAGTGGCGCGATCTCGGCTCATTGCAACCTCCACCTCCCAAGTTCAAGAGATTCTGCCTCAGCCTCCCGAGTAGCTGGGATTACAGATGTGTGCCACCATGCCTGGCTAACTTTTTTTTTTTTTTTTTTGTATTTTTAATAAAGACGGGGTTTCACCATGTTAGCCAGGATGGTCTCCTGACCTCGTGATCTGCCCACCTCGGCCTCCCAAAGTGTTGGGATTACAGGCATTAGCCACCATGCCCAGTCTTTTTTATTTTGAGACAGTCTCCCTCTGTTGCCCAGGCTGGAGTGCAGTGGTGTGATCTCGGCTCATTGCAACCTCCGCCTCCCAGGTTCAAGCGAATTCTCCTGCCTCAGCCTCCTGAGTAGCTGGGATTACAGGTGCACACCACCATGCCTGGCTAATTTTTGTATTTTTAGTAGAGACGGGGTTTCACTATGTTGGCCGGGCTGGTCTCGAACTCCTGACCTCGTGATCCACCCTCCTCGGCCTCCCAAAGTGCTGGGATTACAGGCGAGAGCCACCGTGCCTGGCCTAGGAATCTTATTTCTAAGGAACAAGGGTTCCATGGGGGAATTCTATCTTGCAGGGCTATTGAGAAGATCACATGAGATAACATACAGCACCTAGAAAATATTTAACTAAAGTGAGTTGTCCTTTTCTTCCATATCAGAGACATCCCTTTGGGATTTCAGGCATGTTGTTACTAGTTGGTAGAGTGGAGGTTGCTGTTACTTGTGAGGTGTTGAACTCATTCAGATTTAGTGAATGTGAATCTGAGGACTGGAAATCACCGTCTACTTAAGTTCACACATGTATCAAACATCACCTGCTAGTTCATTTCTCAGCCCAAGTCAGCCTTGGGCATTCCTGGCAGAGACAGCAGACTCAGCCCTTGCCATAGCTGAATGAGGTCTAGGAAGCTCAAAGAGGCTAGTTTCTACATTTATGAAATGAAAAAGTGACCACCTCATTCACTCATTCCAGCATTTGTTTTGTGCCAGGGACTGAGTTAGGAGCTGGGGATTAGGAGGTGGACCTTGCCACGGAGTCCTCTCTTAGAGGGGAGATGGACTTGTACCTAGACATTTACAGAGCATGTGATCACGGGCTAAAATGAGTATGTTCACATGGAGCTATGGCGACAGAATGTGTGCCTCATTGTAGTGAAAAAAAGACTGCTTCGAGGAAATAACTCCAAATAGGAGTACAAATAGGAGTGCTCTAGGCCAGTGTGGTCCTGCTCCGGCAGTATCAGCGTCACTTGGGAAACTTGTTAGAAATACAAACTTTTAAGGCTGGGCTCGGTGGCTCATGCCTATAATCCCAGCACTTTGGGAGGCCGAGGCGGGCGGATCACCTGAGGTGAGGAGTTCGAGACAAGCCTGACCAACATGGTGAAACTAAAAATATAAAAATTAGCCGGGCATGGTGGTGCACGCCTGTAATCCCAGCTACTCAGGAGGCTGAGGCAGGAGAATCACTTGAATCCAGGAGGCGGAGGTTGCAGTGAGACAAGACTGCACCACTGCACTCCAGCCTGGGCGACAGAGCGAGACTCCATCTCAAAAAAAAAAAAAAAAAGGAAGAACAAACTTTCAGGCCCATCCAGACCTATGAAATCAAAAGCTCTTGGGGCAAGGGAAGAGACAGCATCTGTGATTTTTTTTTTTTTTTTTTTTTTTTTTTTTTGAGACAGAGTCTCACTCTTATCCCCCAGGCTGGAGTACAATGGCATGATCTCGGCTCACTGCAACCTCTGCCTCCCGGGTTCAAGCGATTCTCCTGCCTCAGCCTCCCAGGTAGCTGGGATTACAGGCGCCCGCATGCATGCCTGGCTAGTTTTTTTATTTTTAGTAGAAACAGGGTTTCACCATGTTGGCCAGGCTGGTCTCAAACTCTTGACCTCAGGTGATCTGCCCACCTTGGCCTCCCAAGGTGCTGGGATTACAGGTGTGAGCCTCCACACCCAGGCAGCATCTGTGTTTTGATGCACACTCATTTGAGAAGTGCTGGCCTGGAAGGTTGGAGGCCATATCAAAATGAAATCATTATATGCCAGAGGACAGCTACTGTGATTAGGAGAGCTTTTCTGAAGGAGCAATGGTCAGTTAGTTCAAGGGATGTTAGCAGGCCATAAGTAGTCCCAGCTTCTAGGGAGGCTGGAGCAGGAGGATCACTCGACCCCAGGGTTTGAGGCCAGACTGGGCAACATTTAAAAAAAAAAAGGCTAGTCCTTGTGGAAGAATGCTCAGAAGTCACTGATGCATATCCAGGAAATTGTTTTAAAATTGTTTCAAGAGCCCTGGAATGCCTCTGGTAAATCCCCTGAAATAGACCAATCCTGTTTCACCTAATGCTCCACAAATGAAGGGGACGACAAGGGCACCTTTGTTCATGGCAGCACTGTCAGTCCCAGTATAGAAGCATGGAGTTATTTAATGAAAGGGTCACTGATTTCAAATTCTAGGCAACTGGACCCAAGATAAATTGCAAACACATTTAACCTCTTCATGTTACATTATGGCAGAACACTGACCCTTAGGTTTGGTAGGCTAGGAGCGTAGTAAATAGGCCGGGAAATGACTTCATAGATTCGATTCCCATGTCTCTCTCCCCTTTTAGGTGGTTTTTCTCCTCTGTGCCTATGTTACAGTGTACATGATATATGGGAAATTCCGTAAAACTTTTGACAGTGAGAATGACACATTCCGCCTGGAGTTTCTTCTGGTCCCAGTCATTGGCCTTTCCTTCCTTGAAAACTACAGTTTCACTCTGCTGGAGGTAAGGGAATGGACTGAGTACCAGTTCTCAAAGGGAAATATGCTCCCTGCATCCTTCCCTCCAGACCCTGGGCTTGCCTTCTGCTTACAACTGTGACCATTACTCATGTATCTTTCAGTTATAAGTTGAGAAGAAATTGACAAGCTATTTACAATGCTTTAGTTGGAAATGAGCACATCTCAATAGTCATGATGCCCATAAACCAAGCAGGCATCACAGCCCTACTTCTGGCTGTTGAGACGTTCTGTTCAACCGATTAGCAGATCCCTGTATCCCTGTAGCACAGTCCAGGCCCAGAAATTTCAACTCAGTAAGTTTGGACTGTGGCCCATGAATCTGCAGGCAACAAGCATCATGGGAGATTCTGATGCTGGTGTTTATGGACATGACTAATTTTTTATTATTTTTTTGAGATGGAGTCTCACTCTGTTGCCCAGGCTGGAGTGCAGTGGCAGGATCTCAGCTCACTGCAACCTCTGCCTCCTGGGTTCAGGTGATTCTCCTGTCTCAGCTTCCCAAGTAACTGGGATTATAGGCACGAGCCACCACACTCAGCTAATTTTTGTATTTTTAGTTGAGACGGGGTTTCACCATGTTGGCCAGGCTGGTCTCCAACTCCTGACCTCAAGTGATCCACCCACCTCGGCCTCCCAAAGTTCTCGGATTATAGGTGTGAGCCTGGCAACATGACTAGATTTTAAGAAACTGTGGCTTCAATTATGATTTTATACTATGAAACTATCATTTAAGTTATTTTTGGCCGGGCACGGTGGCTCATGAGGTCAGGAGATCGAGACCATCCTGGCTAACACAGTGAAACCCTGTCTCTACTGAAAAATAGAAAAAAAAAAATTAGCCGAGCGTGGTGGCAGGCGCCTGTAGTCTCAGCTACTCGGGAGGCTGAGACAGGAGAATGGAGTGAACCCAGGAGGTGGAGCTTGCAGTGAGCCGAGATCGCACCACTGCACTCCAGCCTGGGAGACAGAGCGAGACTCCATCTCAAAAAAATAAATAAAAAAGTTATTTTTGGCTGGGTGTAGTGGCACATGCCTGTATGTAGTCCCAGCTACTAAGGAAGGTGAGATGGAAAGATCACTTGAGCCCAGGAGTTTGAGACTGCAGCAAGCTATGATCATGCCACTGCACTCCAGCCTGGGTGACAACAGCAAGACCCTATCTTAAAAAAAAAAAAATTAAAAGTAGTTTTCTATATAAATGCTCACGCTACACTGTGAAAAAAGCAGTGTACTGTATAATCTTTCAAAAATTAGAAAAAAAAACCCTTATATTTACCTAGAGATGGTAGGTTAAACTGATTAAAATATTATAATTTTTATTGAGAACTTTTTCCCTCCTTACTGTACCTTCTCCAGCAAGCTATTGTTTTAGTAATTATGTTCTTTTAAGATGGGCCTCTTCTTGGTCTTGCTCAGTCTCTGGTTGCTTTCTCTTTGGCTCAGATCCTCTGGACTTTCTCTATCTATCTGGAATCAGTGGCTATCCTGCCCCAGCTCTTCATGATCAGCAAGACTGGAGAGGCTGAGACCATAACTACTCACTACCTGTTCTTTCTGGGTCTGTACCGGGCACTCTACCTGGCTAACTGGATCAGGCGGTACCAGACTGAGAATTTCTATGACCAAATTGCAGTCGTGTCTGGAGTAGTACAAACCATCTTCTACTGTGACTTCTTCTACTTGTATGTGACCAAAGGTAGGTCCTGGGATGACAGCAATGCTGACACTGGCCTAAGGAGTTACTCATCCATTTAATAAGTATTCCAGCAGATACAGATGTGAACAGTCAAGTCTCTGCCATCCACAATGCTTGTGTTCTAATGCAAGAAGACAAATATTTTCAATAAAGAAACAAATGCCATAAAAACATGCAGGCCAATAGGTTATGTGTACTATGCAAGACAGCTGTGAGATGACATTTGACAGAATACTTGGTTAGTAGTGAAAAACATTCCAGAACTTATTACAAGCCCCAAGGCAACCACCAGCTTGGTGTGATGGACAAAAAGCCTAGTGGGGTCAAAATCTATAAACCTGGAGATGAGTCAACCAAGACCAGTTCACATAGGGCAGGGGTGTCCAACCTTTTGGCTGCCCTGGCCCACACTGAAGAATTGTCGTGGGCCACACATAAAATACACTGATAGCTTATGAGCAAAAACAAACAAAAAGACACTTCATATGTTTTAAGAAAGTTTACAAATTCGTGTTGGGCCACAAAGCCATCCTGAGCCGCGGGTTGGACAAGCTTGACCTAGCGCCTCGTAGGCCAGGGTAAGGGGCTTGCACTACATTCTGATTGCCAAGGGCAGGTATTGGGTCATTAAAAAACCCAATCCACTAGCTGCTATGTAGGGTAGAAAGCAGTCCAAGTACAGTGACTAGCTATGGGGCAGTTGCAGTTGATCAGGAAAAAGGCTCTAGGTAGAAAGACATGTGGACACAAGTTCTAGGACTTGAGAAGGACTGCTGATTTGATTGTATGAGATGTACAATAGACAATTTGAGGCCAATCGCTAAGTTTACAGCTGGGGGGAAGGGTGCCAGTAACCAAGTCGGGGATCAGTAGGTCCATAGTCAACCGGAGATGGACTCCCCCTTTGCTTTAACAATCGAACATATACTGTGAGCCGGCCATTAAGAGATGATACCAAGATTATGCATCAAGTTATAAAGCAGTCCTTTCATCAGATGGTAAATTCTTATTTCATCTCCATTTTCTTCCAGTCCTTAAGGGAAAGAAGTTAAGTCTTCCAATGCCAATCTGAGGACCTTCAGAGACAGTCTACGCCTTAACAAGCACATGAAGGAAACTATTTTGAATGTTCTCTTTGGCAACTTATCCATAATTTGGGATCAAATGTTAAAACCAGAAAAGTGTTTAGTGTGGATTTCAGCAAAACCTGATCATCCCACCCAGAAGACCTTCTCATCAATAGATCGCCCTTAAAGACCCATTGTAAGGTCATAAAAAACCTCGGCCACCTGCACAAAGATGGTGCCTCACTGCAACAAGAAACCTTAAGGTGTCTTACCGACGAAATAAAAAACATAAATGATTGTTCTCCAAGGCCTGAGGGCAAGACTCATGATGAGCAAGTCAACCCCAATCTGGAACAATGTCCCTCCTCTTAGAATGTCCCAACTAAAGACCAGTTAAAATATTAGGGTACGTTCTTGTGAATTTCCACTTTCCAGGTAGATGACCAAATTTAGGTGGTCAAGATATAAAGGTGTCAGCTAGTTTTAAGTGTGAAACTTATTTCACTTTCACACTGCCTTCAGGCCAGAAGCAAACCAAATTTACCAGGTTTGGCTGGAGGAGTTTTGTGACTCATCTTTTACTGGTTTGAATTTTTTCAAACCAGTGGCTGATACCTGCCTTGTACTTAGTACCTTAATACCAATAACCTAATGGTACTTAGGCGAGTACCATTTGCACAATCACTGTTTTACTTATGAGCAGATACAGATATATCCAAACCCTTACCTACTAGGTATCCTGCTAGGGTTTTCAATTCCAATTCTTGTATTAAGTTTTTTCCTTTCAGTTTTAGGTGCGAAAGTAATCAGTCAATCCAATATCCCCCATCTTTGTCTTGAAACAAAAACTGTTTTAAGACGTCTACGTTGAATTATTCAGAGAATTAAGCAATAAAAGCTCACACCTTATTGTCAACAGTGTTTTTATTTATACCTACAAAAAGAAAACAAGATGATGGTATCAAAAGGACAATTTACAAACTAAGAATAGTAACATAGCTTTCAGCATCCTGTGCCTGAACATCACACATCTACAAGTCTTTCAAGTCTTAATGCAACAGGAATGTGTCTGGAGACCAGCAAGAACATCAATAGAGAGCACTGATCCCAAGCAAAAGCCACTAACCTTTTAGATGAGAAGTCCACACAACGAATTGTTAGGGAGGATTGGGGAGAAGCAGCCCATTGCTTAATACATTGGAACCCTTTCCCTAAGTTGAGTTTCAACCATGAATGCAATAACTAGCATAAAACGATTCTTCTGCTCATGTTCTGAAGCCAACAGCAGAACCTGAATTATAAGTGACAGACATGGAGGCAGAAGAGTTAAACTCTGCTAGATTTCAGCTGTGCTCAGGCCATAATAGTTTTTGAGGTTTGGAATTTACTGTTATTTTATGATTACAATGTCCCAGGTGGAAAAAGGGAAGCAAGCAATCCAAATAACCACTTGCTTGCCCAGAGACCTTTCCCTCAAACAGATGCTTTCAAGAGCTGCGAGAGAGTAGGGCATCCCTTGTGGTGGTACCTCTATGTTTAAAGAAAGAAGAAAAAAACCCAGAATTTGGTTGTAGAAAACAATGCCCACAACAGACTGGCCAGTGCTTAGACAAATTTGGGGTTGGGGGGAACACTTTGGTTTGAAAGCACAGAGCAGTTTGCCATGTTTCTTCTGTGCCTACCATTCTCCCTTGGCCTCAACTTCTGTAAGATGGGGGGGGGACAAAAAGAGAAGTAAAGTTAAGAAGAAAGTGGAAAATTAAAAAAAAAGATGTCAAAGTTTTTACATGCATATATTTCAGCTTATGCTGAAGACCTACCTGTATGTTGCACATTGAATCATACTTTCAGAACCCCTCAGAAACCATCCCTCTCTCCCTAAAGAATTTTAAAAGGAAAACAAAACCTCGAGTATAGATCTTACAGATGAGCAAGCATTCAGGCCTTAGCCAAAGAATGCAGTGGAGCCTTCCCCCTTCAACTGCATTGTGAATGAATACCAATTAACAGCATAAAAATTAATAGTCCCATATCAGATCTGGAAGGGGTTTCTGGGGCTGTCTGATGTCCCTATCCTGTTGTAGTGAACACAATAGCAGAAAATTCTTTCTGGGTCCATCTGCTATAAAGTCTTGGTAAAACAGCATTACCATGAAGAGGATGAACTCACCTACCTTCAGATGGAGGAAAAGTGAAAAGGACTTAGGCTTTAGTCCTCCATGACTTTTCTTAAGCACTACCTACCTGTAATAAGCTGAGTGCAAAAGGATGCCGAAGAAAATCTGCACCCAGAAGCTGTTAGAAAGCACTGCAGAGAACAGGGTATGAAGAAAATAAAGAGTTCTTAATAAACCCTTAAGATTCTTTGTTCAAGGTAACTTTGCCAAAAGGGCAGAGTAGGTGGCAAAGAGTTGCTTTTAATCTAGCTCTACACTGCATTTGAAAATAAAATTTGCCCATTTTGAATATATTGTTTATAATTAAATGTGCTTTTTACACTGCAGGTCAATATAAAAACTGGTTAGTAAATTTCCAGCGAGCATTTATGTTCATTTGCTCACAGCAGCTGTCTGGATGGAAAATTAATTTCACAGATGGTCCCCAGTTAAACTGGGAAGAAATATAGGCAGCTTCCACCCAGATGCTGAGATGCTACAGTTTAACCACTACAATAAACACTTGTGGTTTTTAATTTAAAGGATACACAAAACTCAGCAATTCAATTTCTAGCCTGACACTAAAATGGTTATTTTTCAGTAACGGGGGGAGAAGTGGGGAGGCAGAGTGTGAAGGGAAATAAAACCAATTAGTAATTTTTAACTATCAAATGCACTCCAGCAATCAGTCAAAACAGGCCCGAGGAAACCTGTTCCAACTTAAGAAACATTTAAAAGCACAAAAGAAAATGTGCAGGGCAATCCCTCTTTGTTTTCTAACCCAGTAATGAGAAATTTAAAGCACAGATGCCATCTTCCTCTGCAAAACAATTCAGCCCTCCCCCTCCCTCCCTCCCCACCAACTCAGAAAAACAAAACATGGGGCTCCCACAAAAGGGCCTAATACCTTACTCTTTTAGATGAAAAATAGCTCAAATATCTTCAACATGCAAGAAGTTGGGGGAAGAAATTAATCTCTTCCAGTCAGCTATATATATATATATATATTTTTTTTTTTTTTACAAAATGTTATTCCAGACTGGATCATTTTGGTGGGCAGAAGAAACCTGGCAGTGAATTCTAACTAATCTGCATGAAAAGACAAATCACGATGGTTGGGGGGAAAAATTAAAAAAAAAAAAAGAAAAAAGGAAAAAAAAAGAAAAGGCGAAGAGGAAAAAAAAAGGAAAGACAGTGTTCCTTAAAATGTAATTAAGTCTGCTGGAGTCACTACCACTTGAGTGGTTTCATTTACGTGAAGGAGGAGGAGGGGGAGGAGGAGGAGGGTATTGGTAGGCAGTCTGCCCCATGTAACCTATCATATTGGTAGCTCCCGGAGGCTGTGCAAACTGTTGTGACATCAGTGGCTGTGGCTGCTGCCCAGACCGGCCTATCCCACTAAACTGCTGGCTAGAGCTCTGTGAACTTCTCCCAGTTGAGGTGGTGCTACTAGCTCCATAAGTGCCAGCACCATATTCTTGAGCTGTATAGCTACTGGTGCCATAAGCAGCTGCCCCATAGGTGCCTTGACCATAGGTGTATTGGCCTGCTTGTGCTCCAAAGGCAGAATTTGGACTTCCATAGCCACTGCCATTAGCATAACCAGCTCTATCGGTTTCACTACGATCCCGATAGCTTGCAGAGTCTCTCCGGCCACCATCCTTGACTCCTCGAAGCCTTCGGTCACACTCATCCTGATACATCAGATTGGGATTGTTGGCTGAAGAAGTGGTCCGGTAACGAGAACGACCACCTAATGGGAAGATACAAGAAGATTTTTAATGGCAGATATAGGACCTAAACATAACAATGTAAAAATTCTACTGGGTACAAAAGTATTAAACATGTCTCCTTGATATTTAGTTATGCTGGCCAGCCTCCCAATTAGTACTGTAAAAATATACTCATAATTTGATTCTTTAATGGGGCACATTCAAAAGCACAGTAAAAATTAAAGGACACTAGACCTTTTCACCCTTTTAGGCCCCTTACTTGAGGATGATCAAGAAACACGGTATTACAATATGAAACCTTGAGTCAGGAAGCCCAGATCCTAGGATATTCTGCAACTGTAGATGCAACTGCTATGTCTCAGTTTCTACCCACCACTAAACAGTGTAAAATGACTGACCTCTCCGTATGGAAAACTGGAAACCTAATATACTACTAAGCATTTTTGAAAGTATTAAAAAAGCAACCATGACCGGGGGCACACTGGCTCACTCTCGTAATCCCAGCACTTTGGGAGATCAAGGCAGGAGGGTCACTTGAGGTCAGCAGTTCAAGACCAGCCAACATGGTGAAACCCTGTCTCTACAAAAAATACAAAAATTAGCTGGACATGGTGGCACATACCTGTAGTACCAGCTACTTGGGAGGCTGAAGCAGGAGAATCACTTGAACCCAGGAGGCAGAGGTTGAAGTGAGCCGAGATCGTGCCACTGCACTCCAGTCTGGGCAACAGAGTGAGACTGTCTCTGCCCCCGCCCCGCCAAAGCAACCACATTAAAACTCAGACCAGCCTCAGCTAGGTTTGGTGGCTCACTCCTGTAATCTCAGCACTTTGGGAGGCCAAGACAGGTGGATCACCAGAGGTCAGGAGTTCGAGACCAGCCAGGCCAACATGGTGAAACTCCACAGACCAGCCTCAGCTAGGTTTGGTGGCTCACTCCTGTAATCTCAGCACTTTGGGAGGCCAAGACAGGTGGATCACCAGAGGTCAGGAGTTCGAGACCAGCCAGGCCAACATGGTGAAACTCCACCTCTACTAAAAATACAAAAATTAGCAGGGTGTGCTGGCGGGTGCCTGTAATCCCAGCTACTTGGGAGGCTGAGGCAGGAGAATCACTTGAACCTGGGAGGCAGAGGTTGCAATGAGCTGAGATCGCGCCATTGCACTTCAGCCTGGGCGACAGAGCAAGACTCCGTCTCAAAACAAACAAACAAACAAAACCAAACCTCAGACCAGTCTCTAAGAAAAAAAAATTCACAATTTAGCTTAACTAATAGGACTATCACAACAAACTTCACGTTTTCTTAGTTGAAAAAGGTTATAAAAAGCATTAGGCAGTGTCCTTTGCTATTAAGCAACATACTTACAGCCTTCTTAAAAACAGCAACTAAAAGCAAGTCACAGAAGGCGTAAAGAGATACCTTGGCAGTACCTGGAAAACTCCAGGACTTACCCTTACCCCCGCCTCCGCCGCCTCCTCTGTGGTCCACAAGCTGCATCAGTTTTGGATTGATAGCCTGATTGGCCTCTTCCAGCACTTTGATAAGCTCTCTGGCCTGTTTTAGGTTCCCTGGGGTGAAGAAGGTATAGGCGGTACCCTTGTTGGTGCTACGGGCTGTTCGGCCAATACGGTGCACATAATCCTCTGAGCTGTTTGGATAGTCATAGTTGATCACAAACTTGACATCTTCCACATCTTCCACGTCAATGATGAGTCAGTGTGTAGGTTGATGTGGCAGGGAAAGAGAAGGTAAAGGACATGCCAACAACAGGTGGGAAGCACGAATGCAGATGACAGCAAGAGGAAAGAAGGTGAAGTTAGTAACCACTCTGAACAGAAACAAAAAAAGACTCATCCCAACAGAGTAAAAGAGGATTACTGATTCCTGGGACATGCATAGGAAATAGGATCTTTATTGGCTGTAGAATCCTAAGGGAATCCCATCCAAACATCCAAACTCCTGCCTCTGCTACATTTTACCAATATACTGACAGGAGTTACACCAATATTGGTCTTCAGACGCAAATTCCAGTACTATCCTTTACAAAACCAGAACATAGAACAAAGTGGTAAACCACTGTGAAGTTATGAGGCCAAATCACTTCTACTCTGTTGGGAGAAGCCTGGCAAAATCTACCAACAACATAACAAACTTACCTTTAAACCAGTCACAGAGCAAAGTAAAAAAAGGAGCTTCATATATTTTATTACTACAATTTAAAGGAAACTTAAATGTTTTGATTAACATTTAACTTTTTTTGCTCTTATCTTTTTAAGAAACTGAGTAGAGCCAAAGCTGTTAAGTACACACCTATTTTCCTTTGCAGAAACATCCAGATTATCTATCCCCTTTCAATTACAAGAGCACATTACACTAAAATTTTACTGTACTACCAAGCCCAGCTTCTGCCAAAATGAGGATATTTTTGCTCAACTCAAGGTTATTTCAACTCAGGACTTGTTTCAATTATCAATGATTGTCTACGTGACCTGGGAAATTAAATTAATAGCCAAAGAACGTGGGAAAACCATGAAACCTTGAGACACAAGTTTAGTATTCTCTCTACTGCTGGGAATTGGGCTGAATAACCTCCTAAGGCTTAAAATGTAAATGTTAGTGTAATGCTTTCAGCTGAATGTATATTTTTACCTACTTAAACAAACAATTTTAAGAATATAACAAAGAATCCTACTGTTTTGTGGAAAAAAATCTGCATTTTACAAAGAATATTCAGAAAATATCCTAGATAAAACACAGATTTTTGTGATATAAATAATTAAAAAACATTCTCTGTTTGTTACCAGACCGATGCACACTCCCTCCTCCTTTGGGAAACCGCTGCAGCCGATCCCGTCTCTTTGCCTTTTATTTTTGGCGGCCTCCTTTCGAAAACTCCGCCTTCTGACACGGGACCACTGGAGCGCGGGGAGCATGCATCAAGGGTCCGTGGCAGTGAGAAGTCCCCACACACGCTCGCTCTGTGAACTGGCTTAGATGCTTCTCTGTAGCCCCATTTGGTTGCCAAGCGCCGGAGAACCTGGGTTCGGGTAAAAATTTCAGGTCCTCCAACGCCTCCCCCAAGGATAATTGGGGTGATTGTAGAAAAAAATAATTAATAAAAAAAAATGTAAGTTACATCCAAAGGGTCAGACTGCATCTATTGCCCAGACTGGATTAATTTCAAGGGAGAAAGGGGAGATTAAAAAAAAAAAATTAGCTGTTGTTACAGGGCTTGTGAAGAAGGGGCATTATGTCTGTTTCTTATTACAATAAAGGCTCCTCGGTCTTTACTGACCCCTAAAGTCCTGAATCACACCAGAAAGACGAGAAGGCACTTATCACAGGGGGCAGCTTGAGTCTCCGGCTAGGGTCGTTGACGCAACAAAGGAAAAAAGAATTTACAGGGCCAGGGTGGATGTAAGACAGGGGGTGGGGAATTCTACTCCATGGTATCTTCAGAGCTAGGATAATGCTCCTTATGCAATCCCACTGCATATGACCATGGCAGTAGAACAAGTTCAATTACTACACTGGATGCGTTAAGTGTGCTTTCCTAGCAGAAAGCACCAGGGTGGAGTCAACAGTTCACATGCTAATACTTGGAAGTATTTCTAGAAGGGGGTGCTCAATAGAGGGCAGACATGATGCAAGTTCTTCATACTAGAAAGGTGTCCTGTGTGTGCATGCACAGCTGGATGGGGGCACACAGGAGCAAGCGCAGAATTTGGTTTTCTCCAGTCAAGTCTACCCTGATGTTATCTGTGCACTGCCACAATATTATCTTGCTGCCTTTCTAGAAGATGCTGTAGCAGGGTAAGAAATCCAAAGTTAATGTTTTGGCCAGCTGACTGGGATAAGAACCTTTTGTCTGAAAGGCCCTATGACATGGCCTGAATCGCCAATCACTAATAAGGAGGGACTAAGTCTAGCCAAGAGGCTCATCTAGAGCTGCTTCCGGCCAATGTAGATTTGTCTCGGCCATGTATTGAGTGATCTGCAGCTGATATCAAAGCTTCTGTTAAAAAACAAAACAAAATAAATTCAATACTTTTAGTTTAACAGTGTGTAGTTCAAACAAAAAAAAGGAAAAATAAAAAATATCCCAGTGGAAAGGGAAGTGGTAGCCTAAGGATGACTATTATAAAATTATGGGAATCAAAGAACTTACCTGAAGGGAACATTTAAGAGACCATCGCTTGACAGGAAGTGAAAAAAGGCCCTGGTGACTCAGCTGAAAATTGCACCCCTGTCTATGAGGTAGAAGCCTTCACTTTCCAGGATCTTGTAGGACATTGGTCAGAATTCTGCCATTTTGGTGGGTTTTCTCCCTCTTTTGATTTTTTACAAGGCAGCAAACAAAGGGGCCCAAAACAAGCACTGATGTTGAGTAACAAGAAACAGACTCGGGTACCTTCCCTCTCCCCTCACTTGGATGAGTGGGGGTGGGATGAAGAGTCTAAGTTATTCTAATGGTAGCCAATTAATTTGGTTTAGAAATGCAAGGGGACATGGAGCAAATATTTTTAATTGTCTAGGCAAGATGCACAAAGAAGCTACCAGCACATAGCAAGCCTGTTTAAAAACCAACCATTACTGAAAGCTTTATGTAAACTGCTTTCAGGCCTCCGCCTCCTCTCCCAACAGGCCCAAGTTCTAATGGCACAGATCCAGACATGACCTCAGAGGGCAGAGGGGCAGAGAGAACTTTCCATCATGGCTGCAGGTCACCACCTCTGAAGGAGGGAATGATGAGTGCAATGCATAAAAAGGCTTCATTACTTTTGTATTCCAGTTTGAATACCTGTTCTCTTTATATTATATAGTATAAGGGAATAATATGGTACTTCTCACCTTACTGGGCAAATTAAATACCTGTCAATAATTTAAGGATTTCCTTGTAATACAAATAATCTTTTTTTTTAAAATATAGAAGTTCTGAGTTAGACCTGTTTAGCTCAGAATAGTGGGCTAAACTACCATAAAATTCTCTGTATATCTTAAATGGTAATGGGTCAAAAACTCCAGAAAATCATCAGTTGATAACACACCTACAGATAAGTGCATGGGTAGGAGGGGATAGCCAAGTGCCCATGATAATTTGACCTCAGTAAATTAAACTGGGCAATACACATATTTGCTATTCTGATACTGCATTAGACTTATAAAATTCCATCTAATAAGCATTCATAAAACTGGACCTCTCTGTATATATCTAGCTTAGACAGGGATAGGGAAAAGAATAACTGAAGAAACTAGCTTACAATAGCTAGGTTTCGTCAGGCTTATTCTATCCAGCCAGAAACCACCACCAGAGAGAAGCTGAGCCATTCAGCTGTCTGTCTCCTCTCCCTCTGTTTGAATAGTCATGCCTAGGCCTTGCTGCAGACCAAAGCCTGTTTGTTAGGAGCAGGAAGAGACTTTGAAAATAAAAGGGGGGTGGGGGAAACCAAAGTTAAAAAAAATTGTGGGGGGGGCAGGGAATGGGGAGAATCACGCTTTGTATTTTTTTCTTTCAAATATTTATCTAACCACATGTATATACAACTTTCTAAACTTGAAGTCTGAATTTGAAATGACGAATCTTTAAACCAAAAGATACATATACCATTGACAGAGACACCTATCTATACAAACCTAGCCCACGGGAGGCTACATCTGTAGCAATAAGGATGGGTGCCTTTCCAGAACGGAACTCTGTAAAAACAAACAATAATCATCATCAAATAAGCATTCCTTGCTATCTGATCTGTTTACATAACCATGTTAAAATTTCAAATAATGGTGCCAGAAAATCCCAAGCTCTTGTAATGACTGACAGTGATTCTTTTGAAAATCTTTATTACACTCATATTCAGCAGCACAATAGTTACCTCTACTAATAATGAAATACCGTTAAGAGAGTGTGGCAATTTGTTACATAATTAATATGAGCTAGATTTTTTTCCCCTTAAAGTTATTTCCCAAATGAGACACAACCAAAAGTTGGGGGTCAGTAGGAAACAAGTTCAAAAGATGTAGAATGAAAAGAACTGAATTTCCCCCCAAAAGGTATGCATATTATTTATTTTTCTTTCTTTTTTTTGAGATGGAGTTTCGCTCTTATTGCCGAGGCTGGAGTGCAGTGGCGCAATCTCAGCTCACCGCAACCTCCACCTCCCGGGTTCAAGCGATTCTCCTGCCTCAGTCTCCCAAATAGCTGGGATTACAGGCATATGCCACCATGCCCGGCTAATTTTGTATTTTTAGTAGAGACGGGGTTTCTCCATGTTGGTCAGGCTGGTCTCGAACTCCCAACCTCAGGTGATCCGCCCACCTCAGCCTCCCAAAGTGCTGGGATTACAGGCGTGAGCCACTGTGTCCGGCCACATTTTATTTCTTAAACAAAATATGGCCTCTTCCATTTCTCAATGGCTTCCCTTAAGAGTAGTCCTGAAAAAAAGGACTGAAAGGAAATATGCTAAAATATGACTCATTAAGAAACATTTTTCTTTAAATATTTCAGTAACAGTTTAATTCTCCCCAAACGGTAGTTATATTTTTATAATCAGAAGGAAAAAATTGAAGACTTTATTAATAAAGGGAGGGTGGTGAAAGTTGTGAAAAAGTTTAAAGAGCCAGCATCGTGGCCCTTAAAGAACCATGAGCACACGCTAAAAGTACCCTCAGTAATTCAATCAACTATACAACAGGGGTAAGACAAACTGGCCTTTGGGCCAAATCTGGCACAACGCCTATTTTTGCAAATAAATATTGTCTGAACATAGCCACGTTTATCTCTTTGAGACAGGGTCCCACCCTGTCACCCAGGCTGGAGTGGCACGATCTTGGCTCACTCCAACCTGTCTCCTAGACTCAAGCAATCCTCCCACCTCAATCTCCGGAGTCGCTGGGGTTACAGGCGTGCACCACCAAGCTTGGCTAAGTTTTGTTTTGTTTTGTTTTTCTTTTAGAGACAGGATTTCACTATGTTGCCCAGACCGGTCTTGAACTCCTGGGCCTAGGTGATCCACGCGCCTCAGCCTCCCAAAGTGTTAGGATTATAGGCATGAGCCACCAACGGTGCCCAGTCCAGGCCACTTCTTTACATATTATCTACAGCCTACAGCTTTTGTCCTAAAACAGCAGTGCTGAGTGGCTATAACAGAGACCACCATTTGGTTTACAAAGCCAAGCATACTTACTATGTGGCCCTTTACAGAAAGTTTGCCTATCCCTGAAATAGAGCATGAACATTCACTTATGGGCAGGGGGTGGGGAATCAACAGAAAATGCTTAGTTTTAAACTTACCATTAAGTACCCAATCTCTTTCTGGTTGACTCTTGTCTCCATGGATACACATAGCTGGCCAACTATCAGAAGAAAAGTGACCAATATTTTAAAAATCTTTTAAAGTGGAGAAAATCGAACTTTAAAGCCAAATGCTATCATGCAATTTTTGTAAGGTTTGTCAGGCTTCATGAATAGATGACTGTGCTCATTAAAAGAGCAAACTGCATGGATAGGCATTATTGAAATATTACACAACATTTGGAATACCAATTTAGAAATTTCCAGTTAACTATAAAACCAGAGGTTAATTGCCTTGGTGCTATACTCACCCATCTCTGCGCATCCTTCGAGTCAGATCATCACAGCGTCTCTTTGTCTCCACAAATATTATTGTTTTGTTTTCCTTTTCAGCCATTATTTCTTCCATTAGTTGGATCAACCTGAAAACATGACCAACAATGCAGTCATCACACAGAAAGTTATTATGTGGACGATTATGTCTGCAATATCAACTCCCAAGGCTACAGTACTTTCTTTGCACATTACGCTTTTAAAATTTTTAATAACTATTAGAGTACTGAGTCAGGTTCTGCTATGTGCTCAAGAAATACTAACTCATACCATCCTCACAGCAAGTCTCATGTAAGTGGTATTACTCCCATTTCACAGATGAAGAAACTGCAGCACCAAGACACAAAATTGTGCAAAATTATACAGCTTGTAATCAGCAGAGCTAAATTTCAAACTCAAGAATTCAGAATCCTTGCATTTAACCATAATGCTCTGACAAATGATATGATGATGGATTATCAGAAACCTAGCAATGCTTTTAATGTTCTCAGGCCTCAAAATATACTGGTTTCTACAGTACTAATTTTGGAGGGTTATTAGAAAAGGTTTATCAGCATTATCAAATCAGAGTAAAATATCTTTCATACTTGTGGTCTTTTTCACTTTCCATGCAGACATCCACTATCTGGAGGATGTTGTGGTTGGCACTCAACTCCAGATTGCCTACGTTGATCTGGGTGTAATCACGAAGGAAATCCTCTGCAAGCTGTCTTACTTCTTTTGGCCAGGTTGCACTCCACATCAGTGTCTGCCTATCAGGCTATCAAAAAAGGAAAGGCTTTCTTTCAGGCTAAGGAACTTGGACAAATGGCATAAAGACTGCTTATTATTAGCTTTACACACCCTGATTTGGTCAACAATTTTACGGATCTGGGGTTCAAACCCCATATCAAGCATTCTGTCAGCTTCGTCCAATACAAGGTAAGTACATCGGCGAAGATTTGTCTTTCCTGACTCCAGGAAATCTATCAGACGTCCAGGAGTGGCTATGCAGATCTCAACACCTGTAAAACAAAACCAATGATCGAGCCAATCGACTAGGTGCAGTGGCTCACAGCTGTGTTCTAGCACTTTGGGAAGAGGAGGCGGGAAGATCGCTTGAGGCCAGTTCACAACCAGCCTGGTCAACATAGCAAGACCCCGACTCTACAAAAATGCAGCAGCAGCAGCCCTGGTGGCTGTACTCAATGCTGCAGAGAAGCTATTTTTTTTTTTTTTTTTGAGATGGAGTCTTGCTCTGTCACCCAGACTGGAATGCAGTGGCACGATCTCGGCTCACTGCAAGCTCCGACTCCCAGGTTCACGCCATTCTCCTGCCTCAGCCTCCCCAGTAGCTGGGACTGCAGGCACCTGCCACCACGCCTGGCTAATTTTTCGTATTTTTAGTAGAGACGGGGTTTCACCATGTTAGCCAGGATGGTCCCAATCTCTGGACCTCGTGATCCGCCCACCTCGGCCTCCCAAAGTGCTGGGATTACAGGCATGAGCCACCGCACTGGCCCAGAGAAGCTAAATTTTAACAAAGTAACCGCAAAACCATGTCAGGACTTATGTACAATCACCAAATCCTCACAAAGTTTCCAGCCATGCTGAACCTTCTCTCTCAAAATAGCTGTTTTAGTCACATCTGAGAATTTCTAAGCTGCTGAAATTCTGAGTTTATCACAAGAACCCACTTTTTTTCTCCAATTTCCTCCACAGGAATTGGTAAAGTAAGATAAACTAACAATTCTTTTACACTATATATTATTACCTCTTTCCAAGTCTCGAATCTGGGGACCTTTAGGAGCACCTCCATAAATACAAGTACTCTTCAATCTAGAACATTTGCCATAGTCATCGGCCACCTGCTGTACTTGCTGGGCAAGCTCTCTGGTAGGAGCCAGAACTAGACACTGAAACCAACAAAAAGACACTTGAGACCTCATCCAAGGTTTAAAAAAAAAAAAAAAAAAAAGAAGAAACAAAATACAAAAAGCTAATTTAATTCTTTGCTGTCTAATCTAGCACATTAAAAGTGATGGGGTGAAGATCAGAAGTGGGGAATATTAGCACAATGGAATATAGAAAAAAATTATTAGAACTTCATGTTTAGCATTTGGAATGATACTGGTATCCTCGTCACTTTTACTATGACACATTATCAATCATTATAGTTTATATATACTGTTTAAGTGGAGATATAGATTGTATTACCTGGTTTTAAGTATACAACTCTCATTTACAGGTTGAGCATCCTAAACCCCCAAAACCAAAATGCTCCAGCAAGCATTTACTTTGAGGATCATATTGGTCCTCAAAATTTGGATTTGTTTTGTTTTCTGAGACAAAGTCTCACTCTATCGCCCAGGCTGGAGTGCAGTGGTGCAATGAAGGCTCACTGTAACCTCTGCTTCCTGGGTTCAAATGATTCTCCTGCGCCTCAGCCTCCTGAGTAGCTGGGACTAGAGGCAGGCACCACCATGCCCAGCTAATTATTGTATTTTTGTAGAGATGGGGGTTTCCCCATGTTGGCCAGGCTAGTCTCGAACTCCTGACTTCATGTGATCTGCCCACTTTGGCCTCCCAAAGTGCTGGGATTACAGGTGTGAGCCACCATGCCTGGCCTAAAATTTGGAATTTTGGATGGTCATCCTGACTTAAACTGGCAGAATGACACATTCCTGACCTCTAATTTAAGCACATCACCAGGTAGATAAGGCAAAAACAATGAAAATTTACATGTAATCTGACAAGACTGTGTACAATCTGGCCAAATAATACAAAAATCAAGGTATCATATACCATTCAAATTAAATTATGAAACTTGCTTTATATACTGATCCATTAGATATCAACTAATAATAATGCTGTCAGACATATACTATGTATTATAA
The DNA here is from genome assembly GCF_000001405.40 of Homo sapiens. Taxonomy (NCBI): domain Eukaryota; kingdom Metazoa; phylum Chordata; class Mammalia; order Primates; family Hominidae; genus Homo; species Homo sapiens. Next base: position 38,496,919 of record NC_000022.11, read on the forward strand.
GTACTGCATTATTTCTTTTTGTGAATATCTTGAGACATATTGTACATGTTCATAAATATATAGGACAAATGCAAGCTTATTTCTTAAAAAAGTTAAGTAGGCCGGGCGTGGTGGCTCACACCTGTAATCCCATTATTTTGGGAGGCCGAGGCAGATCACCTGAGGTCAGGAGTTCGAGACCAGTCTGGCCAACATGGTGAAACCCCGTCTCTACTAAAAATACAAAAATTAGCTGGGTGTGGCGGCGCATGCCTGTAATCCCAGCTGCTTGGGAAGCCGAGACAGGAGAATCGCTTGAAGCCAGGAGGTGGAGGTTGCAATGAGCCGAGATTGTGCCAATGTACTCCAGCGTGGGCAACCAAGAGCGAAACTCCATCTCAAAAAAAAAAAAAAAAAAAAAAAAAGTACACATTCAATGCCAGGCGCGGTGGCTCACACCTGTAATCCCAGCACCTTGGGGAGGCCGAGGCAGGCAGATCACCTGAGGTCAGGAGTTCCAGACCAGCCTGGCCAACATGGTGCAAACCTGTCTCTACTAAAAATACAAACATTAGCTGGGAGTGGTGGTGCACGCCTTTAATCCCAGCTACTCGGGAGGCTGAGGCAGGAGAATGGCTTGAACCTGGCAGGCGGAGGTTGCAGTGAGCTGAGATCTCGCTACTGCACTCCAGCCTGGGCAACAAGAGTGAGAATATATCTCCAAAAAAAAAAAAAAAAAAGAAAGAAGGCTGGACGCAGTGGCTCATGCCTGTAATCCCAGCAATTTGGGAGGGCAAGGTGGGCTGATCACCTCAGGTCAGGAGTTTGAGACCAGCCTGACCAACACGGAGCGAACCTCCATCTCAAAAAAACACAAAAAATCAAAACAAAAAAACAAAAAAAACCACACCAAAACCAGAAAACACTTGATTTACTGCACAGTAAATGCCCATACAGCATGCATGGTTTCTTTAAGAGTAAGACTTTGGTTCAAATGTAAGCTCAGCTATTCAATTGCTGAGTGATCTTGGGTAAGTCATTTAATTCCAAGTAAGATGAGAATGAAACCATTTCCACCTATGGAGGGTGTGGTTAAGAGTACAAATGGATAATGTAAAGCACCAAGCCTAAATAGTCGCTAAATTGTAGTTTTTCTTAGAATTACAAAGAAACTGAAACACACTTACGATTGGGCCATCTCCCCTTTCCAAGTATGGCTGGTGGTTAATATGAACAATTGCAGGCAGGAGATACTGTGGAGGGGGGAAAGAATGACAACCTTACGCTTAGAAGTACAATCTTACTTAGATACTTAGTAATTACTGAATTAATGCATAAATAGGAAAGTGAAAAACAGAACTTACCACTGCTATATACAGGAAGCAATACAAATTTGAACATAAAATGCTTCCATATATTTAATAACTAAAATAGTATCTAACTATCTGAATGGCACTTCTACGAAGAACTGAGAACGTATGACAACTAGAATAGCAAAATAAGTTACCACAATATCAAGGATCTTCTCTTGCTCATACATACCGCCAACGTCTTCCCAGAGCCAGTCTGAGCAATGCCCACCATATCCCGGCCACTAAGAGCCAACGGAAATCCCTGGCACTGAATTGGAGTTGGTTCTGTAAAGTGCTGATCCATCAACACATCCATTACATATTCTGTAAGAGAATTTTATTTTGCGTATTTTATTGTGTTTAAAGACACAAACCAAGAGTTTTTAAAAAAACTTTTAAGCTCACTGAAGATAAGATTTACCCAGCTTCATCTCTCCAAAGTGCTTTTTCTTTATCTACTAGATCTCCGACCAACTCACTGTTAGCTTCTAAGGGCCAGGCTAGGTGGCTCACGCCTGTAATCCCATCACTTTGGGAGGCTGAGGCCAGTGGAGGCCAGGAGTTCCAGACCAGCCTGGTCAACATGGTGAACCCTGTCTCTACTAAAAATACAAAAATTAGCCAGAGTGGTGGTGGGCCCTTGTAATTCCAGCTACTCGGGAGGGTGAAGCAGAATCGCATGAACCCAGGAGGCAGAGGAGGTAGTGAGCTGAGATCGCGCCACTGCACTTCAGCCTGGGTGACAACGTTGAGACTCCGTTTCCAAAAACAAACAAACAAAAGCTGCTACAATAGTCTACCTCTCCCAGAAATTTGAAAAACCATTACCCTAAAGCATCTAACAGGACATGGGAACATGGTAGTCATTTATTGTTTAGCAAATTCACATTATATCCAGCTAGAAAGCAATTTCATTCTGCTGTTTTCTAAAAGGCAGAGGGCAAAACCCTAGAAAAAGACAAAAACCTCAAAAAAACAAAACAAAAACAAAACCTCAGTCTAAATACTAGAACAGAACTGATGACCATAAAAACAATCTCTTGTCCTTTCAACAAAACCCCAAGCCTGGCTCAAAGAGTTTAACCTACTACCCTTGTCTCCCATTCAACCCAATTTAACAAATTAAGGTTCTAGATTGAAGAACACTTACGTGGGAAGTTAGCATGATGGAAGGCAAACACGGGTTTAGGACAAACATCTCCCCCCCTCACTGTAATCTCCTTCTTTCGGCGTAGCTCATCAACCTCATACTATTGAAAAAAAATGAAAGAAGTTAGTAAACTAGTTATTCTAAACATTCAGAATTTATGTTCCAAGCTAGCTGAGCAATTATCCAGTCCACAGCTATGTTGGCAAATATTTAATAGTTTACATGGTACTTTCATGTGTATCACTTTAACTCTGCAAGGCTCCTACTTACTTTGTAAGTTAATTAATGATGTAGGTGATTAAGAGTTCCATTTTCTATAGGAGAAAAAAGATAAGTAACTTGCTCAAGGTCAGAATGAGAAGGAAAAAAAAGTGGAACTTGGACCCAAGTACTCTTTCCATTACACTTTCTTCTGAAAGAGTAACCATTTCATGTGTAGAGTCCAAAAAACAATGGTAATGAGGTACAAGAAGAGACAATGTTGGCTGGGCACGGTGGCTCCCACCTGTAATCCCAGCACTTTGGGAGGCTGAGGTGGGTGGATCACTTGAGGTCAGGAGTTTGAGACCAGCCTGGCCAACATGGTGAAACTCCGTCTCTACTGAAAAAAAAAAAATAAATAATAAATGAACCAGGCGTGGTGGCACATGTCTGTAATCCCAGCTACTCGGGAGGCTGAGGTGGGAGAATTGCTTGAACCTGGGAGGCAGAGGTTGCAGTGAGCCAAGATCATGCCACAGCACTCTAGCCTAGGGGACAGAGTGAGACTTCACCTCAAAAAAAAAAAAAGCCAATCTATCTTTTTCACTAACAGATGAAAAAACATGACCTAATATACAATATTTCAATCATGTATAATAAACAGATTAGTAAGCATTATCAACAAGAGAACAAATTAAATGCATATTTAAACTGGTCCCCTTTTATGAGTATTAGGGGTCTTAGATAAGAATGTAAGAAAGGCTGGGCATGGTGGCTCACACCCATAATCCCAGCACTTTGGGAGGCTGAGGCGGGCAGATCACAAGGTCAGGAGACGGAGACCAGTCTGATCAACATGGTGAAACCCTGACTCTTGCACTCCAGCCTGGGTGACAGAGCAAGATTCCGTCTCAAAAATAAAAAGAGGCTGGGCGTGGTGGCTCACGCCTGTAATCCCAGCACTTTGAGAGGCTGAGGCAGGTCGATCACCTGAGGTCCGAGGTCCGGAGTTTGAGACCAGCCTGCCCAACATAGTGAAACTCCATCTCTGCTAAAAATACAAAAAATTAGCCGGGCATGGTGGCGGGTGCCTGTGATCCCAGCTACCTGGGAGGCTGAGGCAGTAGAATCGCTTGAACCCAGGAGGCGGAGGTTGCAGTGAGCCAAGATCACACCATTGCACTCTAGCCTGGGCAACAAGAGCAAAACTCCGTCTCAAAAAAAAAAAAAAAAAAAAAAAAAAAAATCAGCTGGGTGCAGTGGCTCACGCCTGTAATCCTAGCACTTTGAAAAGCTGAGGCAGGTAGTTTGCTTGAGCTAGGGAGTTCAAGACCAGCCTGGGGAATATGGCGAAACCCGGTCTCTACAAAAAGGAAAAAAAAAAAAAAATTAACCAAAAAATTTTTTAAGAAAAATATCACCACACTAGAATAAAATGTAAAACGGCAACAGTAGCGTATGAATAAACTCTAACCAATATATCTACTTGGTTCAATAATCTGTACATTAAAACACACATGTAAACTTACTGGTGTCAGCCTTGCTACTTCCGGATGTTCCACATAAAAATTTTTCTCAAACTTGGGGAGCTCACTCAAATCCCACTTTTTTTTACGCAAACGCTCCCCAGGATTACCAAATTTCTTCGGGGGAAGGCCACCACCACCTCTTGCTCCAAATCTAGGAACAGAATTTTTAGTTAGTTCATCAGTATTTTTAAAGCAACGTATCGTACATGCCATAAGAATATTCAAAAAGGATGGAGTTCTAGGGATACTACCAGCCTACCTCCAAAAAGACCATTTTATTTGCTGTGATTTAAAGGTATGGAGAAATGTGTAAAACCTCCCTTACTACCCAACAATAAATACTGTTTATGAATATAGCTACAATAGGCAAAAAATTAAAAATCCCTTTATTGAGAGAAATACATCCTAGGGATTACAATCACAGATTCTGGATCCAGACATGGTTTGAGTTTTTATTCTGCCACTTACTGTATAATTTGAAGAGAATTATTTAACTTCCACACACCTTAGTTTCCTATGCAAAGTAGAAATAATACCACTTATTTCAGAGGCTGCTGAGAAAATGACCTAATAATGTGTAATGTACTATAAAAGTATCTGGCATAGCCAGCACTCAGTACAAGTTAGCATCATTTCATTCAACAAATAGTTATTAGGTACCAAGTTACTAGGTACCAAGTATGTATCGGCTACTGTTTGAAGTGGTGCTGTGCTGGAGTTACTAAACAAAACAGACACAAGTCTCTATTTTTGTGTAACAGACATGCAGGCAAAGGATGACATTAAGTTAAGTTTCAATTAAAGGGAAGATTGTGGACAAGAAGGAAGATACACTCCAAGCAAGTCCCTCAATCTTAGAATAGCTTCTTGGGCCTGCTCCCCTATTAAACTGTGATAAGCACTCCACCTGTCTGCTTATCTGCAAAGCAAAACTGGGTCTTGGAAAGGACTGGTAGACTGGTCTTCATTTTTAGCTTACGCTAATAAAAGAGCTGAGCCTGCCGGGGGCAGTGGCTCAGTCCTGTAATCCCAGCACTTTGGGAGGCGGAGGCCAGTGGATCACTTGAGGTCAGGAGTTTGAGACCAGCCTGGCCAATATAGTGAAACCCTGTCTCTTACTAAAAACACAAAAGAGTAGCCAGGCGTGGTGGTGCACGCCTGTAATCCCTAGCTACTTGGGAGGCTGAGGCAGGAGAACCGCTGGAACTCGGAAGGCGGAGGTTGCAGTGAGCTGAAATGGCACCATAGCACTCCAGCCTGGTAGACAGAGGGAGGGTCCGTCAAAAAAAAAAAAAAAAAGCTGAACATAGATTTATGACCTTTCCTTCTTCTTTGATCTCTACTTTTACCTTCTATCTCCTTCTTGTTCCCAAATGGTATTATTAATTTACAGAGAAAAAAACACTAACAAGACTTATTTAAGGCTTTAACACTCAACTAATTACTTAAGATCAACTTCTTGCTTTTTATATACCTTTCACAACAGACAAGCTCAAGAGGAATACAAATATGACCACTAGCCAAAGCTAATATTTAAGAAATCAGAAGCTACTTTTCCTAGAAGAATCTTAACACTAAGATGGCCTTAATTTTCCCTATTTCGATCTTGTAAAGTACAGGTCTTTGTTTGGCATACAAACTGTATAGCATTTTCTCAGTTTCTTTACTCCTTGTAAAATATTGTACTGAATTTAGTTCCCTTTTCCCACTCTAACCCACTTGTAACTTCATCTTATATAAAGTTCCACTTTATCATTGATAGGCAAGTAGGTGTATTATTCTACAGGGCCTCAATTTCCTGCAATTCAAAGCCATTAGAACTCTGGCTTAACCAGCCAGACATTCCTCTAAATACATACGTAACAAAAATTGATGGCAGGAGATTTTATTGGGATCACTGGATACCTACACTCAACAGGCAGAACTTGGCTAATTCCATTTATACCACTACTGAGACAGTGAAGACAAATTAAGAATCAGAACAGGAAGAGCACATAGCATAGGGATACCCGTGTCAGCGACATATTTAATATGCCCCTCAGCTTAAGACTCAATACTGAACAGACCAAAAGGCCACCTCAATTGCCGCTCCCGCCACACTTGCAAATGAAGCAGCTAAATAAGGTACTTTTCAAGAGGTAGAAAGTCTTTGGATTATCACTCTTGCAAATTATAAAAGACTTCATTGTTATTGCCACATTGCAATGCTACCCAAACCTTAGTGACTTAGGAAAAAATAAAACTTGAAAGTAAGATTCCTGTTAAGGCTTTAAACTGATGATTATCATTCATGTATTTTTTTTTCCTCTCTCCTTACTTCCCTGGCTATTTATTCAAGACATTCTATTCTACACTAAACATTTAATTTGAAACATGTGGTTCTTGGAAAATATGCCGTCTTCCATGTTTATAATTAATGCTGACATAATTAATGACCTCAAAATTCAAGAAAGCCTTTTACTTTTGAGCATATCCATGCCATCTTTAAATACGCACACTGTACTCTCTGGTATACTATGCTGCTCAAATGTTTTTATCCGGTCAGTAATTAGTTTAATTTGGCTTTACAAAAAAATTCACCTTTGAAGTCATATATTAACATTAAAAACCATACTACTTCAAATGTACAATGCCTATCATTTTTGCATCACACATGTGAAATACATGAACTGACCTCACCTATTCCTTTTTCAAAATAACCACCACTTCAACTGTGTAACACTCAGTTGAAACAACAGCAATTCAAATAATCAAGAACATTTCTTGGGAAAGGGAGAGTTGGGGCACAGATCTTATGAAAGAAGGCTAGTTCGTTTGAAATTTTTAAAAAATGTCATCTGATACTCAAAGTATGGATCAGTAATTCACTTTTTTCCTTTCAAATAACTTATTAAAGCATATATATGGTGAAAGGAAATATTAAACCAAACACCAATGGTAAAGAAATAGAACACTATTAGTAACTTGTAGCCCCTCTATGTGCCTATTTCAAGCTTACAACTTTCACCCTAATAACCACTACCTTGAATTTTGTTAACCACTCCCTTTCCTATCATATTTGCACATATCCTTAATTAAATGTGTCACCCTACCACAACGTGCTTTTTAACTCAACACTTCTGTGACTTATCCACATTAATCCAAGTTCTTTTCTCTTTTTCACGGCTGATTCAATTGTACGAATACCCACAATTTATGGAGACATTTGCGTTGTTTCCAATATCCTGTTAGCACGAATGCTGGTATATAAACTTTTCTGTACAAGGATCCTGGGGTACCTGTGCAAGGATTTCTCTAGGCATTACAGTCTAGGGTATAAAGCTTAGGGAGGAATTGCTGGGTCGTTTTCAACTTTCCTAGATAATCTCAAGTTCTTTTTCTAAGTCAATGAACTGAAATTCACTTCTAAACTTAGCAATACTGTCACACGCGAAGCAAACATTCCACCTCTCATCCTCTAAACAATGAGATAAAATATTTTCCTTCCTAATAAGGTATAAATCAAAATAATTTTGTAAAAAGTGGCAACTGAAGTGCTTGAGACTAGTAAATCCAGCAGTTGTGGATCTGAACCACAAAAGACAAAAACGTTTGGAGAAAATATCGTTAACAGAGCGCCTACTACAGTGAGACTATTACATCCATTATCTCTTAATTCCTGACAACACAGCAAAGTAAAGGCAATTATCACGTTCCTCAGAGGAAACAGGCTCACAAAAGGTAGGATCTTGACCAAGGTCACACACACACATATCAAGTGGCGTCACGTAACTCTTTGGGGAAGCGGGGGGGTCGGGGGAGACGGAGTTTCGCTCTTGCCACGGGCTGGAGTGCAATGGCGCGATCTCGGCTCACTGCAACCTCCTCCCCCCGGGTTCAAGCGATTCTCCTGCCTTGGCCTCCCGAGTAGCTGGGATTACAGGCATGCGCCACCAAGCCAGGCTAATTTTGTTATTTTTAGTAGAAACGGGATTTCTCCATGTTGATCAGGCTGGTCTCGAACTCCTGACCTCCGGTGATCCGCCCGCCTCGGCCTCCCAAATCGCTGGGATTACAGGCCTGAGGCACCACGCCCGGTCCACAATACCAAGAACTTTCTAGCGAGGCAGAATAGTTGACGCTGCAGTCCAATTAGAGAAAAAAGGCTGAAATATTAAGATTAAAACTAAAGTAACGACCCAAAAACCCATCCTTCCCCCAAACACGGTCATTTAGATGGCAAGCAACTCCACTGCTTTACATCCCAATGCATTTCCTCCGACTTAAAATATAACTGAAGAGAATTAAAATCTATTTCTAAAAATGAGAAGTTGGTCTTTTCGTCTCCCGTGCCTTAAACAGTGAACTCTGGGGAGAGAACGTCAAGGGTGCCATTTCGTGTAAGGCTTTCCTGGGCTGAAGTGTTCTCTCAGGAAGATCCGCGTTTTTCAGATGAACGCCGAGGCCTGGAGACATCGAACAGCCCGCCCGAAGCGGCCCGGCTCGAGAGCCGGGAAACCAGGCGAGGCGCCAAAGCCCGGGCCTGGGCTGATGCGGCCAGGCCGCCCCTCCCGATCCCCCGCGGGGCTGGGATGGGGCCGGGCCGCGCCACGACGGCCGTCCGCACGGAGAGGCCCAGCGTCGCCAAGCGGCCGCCCTCCTCGGGTCCCGAGTGACCCCGGGGCCGAGGTCCGCGCACGAAACCGCTGTCTCGCCTCGAGTCGCCTCCCCTCGCCTCCCGGGTCGAGAGCAAGGCTCCCAGGCTCGCAGTCCGCCGGGCCTCCCCAAGAAGCAACTCCCCCACCCCCACGCCAGGCCTCTCCTCTCCTCCCCCACCCTTACCCTCCACGGTCACGATCCCGGTCCCGGTCCCCAAAGCCTCCTCCGCGCATGGTCCCAAAAGGATAGAGATCTGGGAGCGGGGCACGGATGGCCGGGCTCGGGAGGGCCTGCGGCTCCGGTCTGGTGACGACCGATGGCGGCGGCGCCTCCGCTGTTGGGGCGGCGGCAGGCGCAGCGCTCTCTCGCTCCGACGCGCTGTCTCCCGTCGCAGACGCCACCGTCGCCGCCTCTCTCGTCGGAGACGGGAGCAAAACACAGAGAATCGGGGCTACAAAGCCGGTGGGCAGGTTTGGCTACGCTCAAACCGGGCAGTGCCGCGGTTTAGGCGTCTCCTTCCTTCCCAGCGACTGCACAAAATGGCGGCCGCCGCTGAGTCGGCTCCAACTTAACGCTGCGTACGGCGGAGACGATACGTAAACAGCGCCTCGGAATAGCCCGAGGGCTCCGCGGGGAACTACGGGTATTCTTGGAAGCACTTTACGTCAGTTGCGACGATGGGTGTATTTTGCGGTCTGTACAAGAAAAACAAAGTACGGAGCGAGCGTAGAGTTCTCGCGCCACCCGAACTAGAACGTGGGATGAGGTGGGAGGAAGCGCCTCTGGTGCGACGTAACATTCTTTGCGTCGTTAGCCGGCCTGCTGTTGCTAAGATGCGCAGTATGCGTAACGCATTCTGTTTAGAGAATAGAGGATTTTGCCTGATTCCGATCTCGGTACAGACCCCGCGGCCGGCTTGAAGAAGTTGCTTTGCAGAGACAATAACCGTCCTCCATATTGTTATCAAGTTTCAGAGTCCTCTGGCGCCAGAGGCCGGGAGGGTCTTAAATTCCGTGGCTGGCCTTCCTATATGGCGCCGCCAGCCCTCTCGCCCCACCGCCCTGGGCCCGCTGAGAATGGCGGCGGGCCCCGGCGCCATTTCCTTTCCGTTGCCTTTCGCTGCTCTGTCTCCGGCAGCCATGATGGAAGAGCCGTGTCCCTTTCTTTCCGGAGTTTGTGAGGTGGCGATGTCCCTTCCAGGTTAAAGTGCCCTCAGCTACATTTGGTTCACACTGAGGTGCATTTTCTGAACCGTATATTTTTACCGTCCCTGGCCGAGCACAGCTGTTGCTAATACAGAAACAAAATGTGCTTGGAGGCCAGGCATGGTGGCTCACGCTTGTAATACTAACACTTTGGGAGGCCGAGGCGGGAGGATCACCTGAGTCCCGGAGTTCGAGACCAGCCTGGCCAAAATGGCAAAACCCCGTCTCTACGAAAAATACAAAAATTAGCAGGACATGGTGGCGGGTGCCTGTAGTCCCAGCTACTTGGGAGGCTGAGGCAGGAGAATCGCTTGAACCCGGGAGTCGGAGGTCGCAGTGAGCCGAGAACGTGCCACTGCACTCCATCCTGGACGACGGGGCAAGAATCCGTCTCAAAAAAAAAATTGCTTGGAGCCCCAGTGGACTCCGTGGGCCCTTTGCTGCCGTTGAACGGCGCTCCTCAGAAGGCCCGGAGAAGACCCCAGCACTCTCAGGAGAACAAGGTTTCAGAGCGATGGTCTTTAGACACAGAAAGGGCGAAGGCTAAGGACAAGTGTTTAACCAGGCTAGTCCACGTTCTCCGCTCAATTCCTTCCAGACTGGCTTCCCTCTCCTTACCTGCTTCCTGTCGTCTCAAACTGCATTTTGAAGCCCCGCAAGCTTGGCCAAATGGCGTCACACGACTGTTGAGCTGTTAGGGCCCTCGAGACGGGCCCATCTAACGTCTCAATTCAACAGATGGGTAGAAGCGGGGAGATTTGGCCCCTCAGTGTGGGTGCTGAGTGTTTGTTTCCCAAATTTTTGGGAACATAGCATAAGAAAAGGAGCTTCAAAAAGAAAAAAAACATGGACCACTGATTTTTCTGTGGTTATGTGTTCTTTTTCCCCAAGTACGTTCTTAACATTGGCAAGTGAACCTCTTAAAGTGATTGAGACTCGCCTGGGTCATATTCTTTTTCTTTTTTTTGTCTGGAGTGCAGTGGCACAATCTCGGCTCACTGCAACCTCTGCCGCCCGGGTTCAGGCAATTCTCCTGCCTCAGCCTCCCGTGTAGCTGGGATCACAGGTGCTTGCCCTCGCACTTGGCTAATATTTGTAGTTTAGCTGGGGTTTCACCATCTTGGCCAGGCTGGTCTTGAACTCCTGACCTCGTGATCCACCCGTGTCGACCTGCCAAAGTGCTGGGATTACAGGCGTGAGCCACCGCACCGGCCTGGGTCATGTTCTTTTATTTACACTGTTAACCTGCCCCAATCCTCATCATCTCTTGCCTGGATGACTGCGCTCGCCTCTTTTTAATCTGCCTGCTCCTGTCCTTGCTCACTCTGAATTTATTCTTCACACTGCAGTCATAGGGGTCCTTTTATTATGTCACTTTACTTAAAATTTTCCAGAGGTTTCCACTTGAAAGAAAAGACAAAGGCCTTACAGTGGCCTACAAGCCCTTGAGGATGCAGCCCTCTTCTGTCTTTCCTCCTTGTTCTACTCTAGCCACACTCGGCCTCAGGGCCTTTGCACTCGCTCTTTACTCTATGTCAGCAAGGCTAGATACCTCAGTTTAGGTCTGTGCTCACATGTCACTCAATCAGGGAGGCCTCCCCAGAACCCAATGCAACACTGCATAACCTGCATACTCTCCTCCTTCACAAGTACACATGCATTCTCTCTTTTCCATTTTTCTTTGCTTTCATTTGAATTAGTAACTGCTTGACATAAACACTTTTTGTCTCCCTCCTAGAGCGTAAAATCTGTGAGTGCAGGAACTTACTTGTTCACCACCGTGACCCAGTGCCTACCTGGCACAGTGCCTGACCTTTTAGCCATTCGACCACGCCATACCCTTGTCCAGTGAGTCTGTGACTGTCCCTTTGTGTTTCTGGGCCAACTGACATCTCAACGGCTTTTGTTTTTTGAGACAGAGTCTCGCTCTGTCGCCCAGGCTGGAGTGCAGTTGGCTCACTGCAACCTCCGCCTCTTGGTTTCAAGCGATTCTCCTGCCTCAGCTTCCTGAGTAGTTGGGATTACAGGCATACGCCACCACACCTGGCTAATTTTTGCATTTTTAATAGAGACAGGGTTTCACCATGTTGGCCAGGCTGGTCTGAAACTCCTGAATTCAGGTGATCTGCCTGCTTCGGCCTCCCAAAGTGCTGGGATTACAGGCGTGAGCCACCTTGCCTGGCCTTTGTCATCAACTTTTATTTTAATTCTGGGGTACATGTTCAGGATATACAAGTTTGTTACACAAGAAAACGTGTGTCATGGTGGTTTGTTGCACAGATCAACCCCTTGCCTCGGTATTAGGCCCAGCATCCGTTAGCTATTCTTCTCGATGCTCTCCCTCCGCCGACCCCCAACAGGCCCCAGTATGTGTTGTTCCCCCGCTCCATGTGTCCGTGTCCTCTTCTGGGTCTTTGATAGTCTTCACTGATGCTTTCTGCTCACGCTCAGATAATCTGCATTTTCACGTAAGATAAAATAATCATAGAGCAGAGGCAGCAGTCAGCTATGTGTTTGTTTCAGGCGAGCAGAGGGATGACTTTTTAGTTTTGTCCTTTGTCCTGTGCTTGTGATGGTAAACCATCAATGTACATTGTCGGGGTGAAATTCAACGGAACTGTTTTAGTGTAAAGATCTTGGAGGCCCACAAGGAATTTCTTTGTGGGCAAATTGTGAGAGGCCTATGTAGCTTTTTTTGTTTTTTGTTTTTTTTTAGAGACAGAGTCTCACTCTGTCGCCCAGGCTGGAGTGCAATGGCGCGATCTTGGTTCACTGCAACTTCTGCCTCCTGGGTTCAAGCAATTCTCCTGCCTCAGCCTTCTGAGTGGCTGGGATTACAAGCATGCGACATGACGCTAATTTTTATATTTTTTAGTAGAGACTGGCTTTTGCCATTATTAGCCAGGCTGGTTTTGAACTCCTGACCTCAAGTGATCCACCCACCTTGGCCTCCCAAAGTGCTAGGATTACATGGCCACCGCATCTGGCCTTCATTATATATTACGGTGTAATAATAATATAAATAGGCCGGGCCTAATAGAAATAGTCTGGCTAACATGATGAAACCCCGTCTCTCCTAAAAATACAAAAAAATTAGCTGGGCGTGATGGCGCATGCCTGTAGCTACTCAGGAGGCTGAGGCAGGAGAATCGCTTGAATTGGGGAGGTGGAGGTTGTAGTCTTAAAAATGGTATTTACAGGCTGGGCACAGTGGCTGACGCCTGTAATCTCAGCACTTTGCGGGGCTGAGGTGGGCAGATCACTTGAGGTCAGGAACTCGAGATCAGCCTGGCCAACATGGTGAAACCCCGTCTCTACTAAAAATACAAAAAATTAGCCAGGTGTGATGGTGGGCGCCTGTAATCACAGCTACTCGAGAGCCTGAGGCAGGAGAATGGCTTGAACCCAGGAGGCGGAGGTTGCAGTGACCCAAGATGGCACCATTGCACTCCAACCTGAGCGACAGAGCAAGACTCTGTGTCTAAAAAGACAGAAAAAAGAGAAGTTTCCTCTAGAGCGCTGAATGACAAGAGACAATGTGGAGAGAGAAGTCTCATACTTACAAGTATATCCTGCCAAGACCCCAGATATACAAGTGAGGCCATCCCAGACCCTTCAGCCAGCCTACTAGCTGAATGTAGCTGCGTGAGTGAGCTATTTCCTTCCTCCCCGCAAAATCCCTTATCTTTTTCTTCATGTTTTCATCTTAGGATATGAAAAGGAAACTGCTGTAGTTGTTTTTTAACCATGAAGGGAACTTTTGGAGAACAGAACCAGCACACCGAAGGTGGGGAAAGTGGAGAGAAGGAAAGAACCTGGGCCCTTGATGACATTATAGAGTCACTGTATTAGCCAACTGTGGAGCTGGTTGACTTCTGGACTTCTTATTTGAAATGACATGCTTCCTCATTGTTTAATCTACTTTTTTGAGCTTTGTGTTACTTGTAGCTGAAAGCATTCTAACTGATACACTCCTCAACCAGCTCTTCTAATACAAGTACAAAATCTGAAACAAGTCAGGCATGGTGGCATGTGCCTATAGTCCCAGCTACTTGGGAGGCTGAGGCGGGAGGGTCGCTTGAGCCCAGGCATTTGAGGTTGCATTGAGCTATGATTGTGCCACTGCACTCCAGCCTGGGTGACAGACTGAGACCCCATCTGTAAAACAAACAAACAGAAAATCTGAAACACCTTGCATAGTATACAATAGGCATTCAATAAGTTTATCATTAATGAGGAAGTAAAAGAAGATTTTGTTGTAAAGAATGCTAATTGCTTATCCAACAACCATTCTCCCTTTCTCCCTTTTCAATTAAGAGTCAGGAGGCTGGCGCTGTGGCTCACACCTGTAATCCCAGCACTTTGGGAGGCCGAGGCGGGAGGATCCCTTGAGCCCAGGAGTTCAAGATCAGCCTAGGTAACATAGTGAAATCTCAGCTCTACAAATAATAAAAAAATTAGCTGGGTGTGGTGGTGTGTGTGTGTGGTTCCAGATACTTTCCATATACGTGGAAGGCTGAGGTGGGAGCGTCACTTGAGCCCAGGTGCTTGAGGCTGCAGTGAGCTATGCTTGCCCCACTGCACTCCAGCCTGGGTGACAGAGAGAGACCCTGTAACCTCTGGAAAAAAAAATTGAGCGAGAGAGAGAAGACAGGGTCTTGTTCTGTCACCTGGGCTGGAGTGCAGTGACACGATCACAGCTCACTGCCATCTTGAACTCCTAGGCTCAAGCGATCCTCACGCCTCAGCTGCTGAGTACCTAGGTCTACAGGTGCTCATCACCATGCCTGGCTCCTTTTCCTCCTTAATAACAGAACTCCAAATTTTAGCTGGGCATATTGATGTCTGGAACAAAAGTCTGTATTTTCCTACCTCTTTTGTGCATGGGTATGGCCAATGAGATATAAGCACAAGTGTTGTATGGTAGGGCTGCTTTACAGGAGCTGAGTCAGCTAGACAGAGCTTTTCCTTCTTTTTTTTTCTTTTTGCCCTTCTGCCTTTTATCTTTCTTTCTTTCTTTGAGACAGGGTCTCACTCTGTCACCCAGGCTGGAGTGCAGTGGCACAATCTTGGCTCACTGCAACCTCTGCCTCCCGGGTTCAAGAGATTCACCCGCCTCAACCTCCTGAGTAACTGGGAGTACAGGCGCATGCCACCACACCCGGATAATTTTTGTATTTTTAGTAGAGATGAGATTTCACCAGGTTGGCCAGGCTGGTCTCGAACTCCTGTCCTAAAGTGATCCACCTGCCTCAACCTCCCTAAGTGCTGGGATTACAGGTGTGAGCCACTGCACCCAGACTGCCTTTTATCTTTCTTCTCTCAACTTGGTTTCTCTGACTAGAGCTCCAGCTGCCAACTTAGGCAATGAGCTGACCTTGAAGACGGAAGTCAAAAATTAAGATGGTCAAGCAGAAAGATAGAGGCCTGCGGGCCTGATGACAAAGTGGACCCACTGTAGTAGCATCTCTGGACTGCCTAGCTTTAGATTTCTTTTCTATGAGAGAAAAATAAACCTGTATTTTGTTTGGGACACTTATTTTGGGGGTTTTCCCTTATATTCAGTCAAGTAAAATCTAAGCTATCCCTTTAACAACTTCCCTCTCAAAATATTGAAGCCTGGCGTAGGAAAGCACGTGAAGAGTATGAATAATGAGAGCTGTCCCACCCGAGTGTTAAGCAAGCCCCTCCTGGCTTCCCTTTCTCCAGTCCCTGAAGGCGGCACTTGAGAGGCACTCTGTTGTTACCTTGGTTGGAGTTCTAGATGGCAAGTGATAGAATCTAACTGGCTAACTAAGGCAAAGGGAAACTTATTAGAAAGACATTAGGGGCTGAGCGTGGTGACTCATGCCTGTAATCCCAGTGCTTTGGGAGGCCAAGGCGGGTGGATCACCTGAGGTCAGGAGTTCAAGACCAGCCTAGCCAACATGGCAAAACCCCATCTCTATTAAAAATACAAAAATTAGCTGGGTGGGGTTGTGCACACCTGTAATCCCAGCTACTCGGGAGGCTGAGACAGGAGAATCGCTTGAACCCAGGAGGTGGAGGTTGCAGTGAGCCAAGATCACACCACTGCACTCCAGGCTGGGTGACAGAGCTAGAGTCTGTCTCAAAAAAAAAAAAAAGGACATTAGGGTTCATTGAATTAGCAGAAGACTGCAGAAACAGCCTGGGCATGGATGGGAGTCTGAGCCACTCAGCAGTCTAGGAGCCGGAAACCCCAGTCTAGCAGCAGGAACAGCCTGGTCAGGCCTCTGCCACTGCTGCTAGGCCCTGCTGCCCCTGCTCCCCCTGCTGTCACTGCAGGTGTGAGCAGCCTCTAACCCCTGCTGTCATCCTTGTGACTGTCACTTCATATTCAATGTCTCAGGATGCACTACCTGAATTGGGGAGAGGTGACTCTTTGAAAGAAAACAAGTGTTATTATGATGGAGAAATGCAAACTGTGCAACCAGAAAATGTGAAACATTTGCCCTAACAAGCCAGGGTCAGTTGAAGGAGTCCTGACTAGCCACACTTGGTGTCTAAGGCCCAATCCTTCTCCTCACCATGATGAAAGATATCCCTTGTATCTAATCTCTTTCTCTTTCTCTCTCTCTTTCTTTTTTCTTTTCTTTTTTCTGAGACGGAGTTTCACTCTTGTTGCCCAGGCTGGAGTGCAGTGGCACCATCTCGGCTCACTGCAACCTCCGACTATCCGGTTCAAGCGATTTTCTTGCCTCAGCCTCCTGAGTAGCTGGGATTACAGGTGCGCACCACCAAACCCGACTAATTTTTTTGTTGGGGTTTCGCCATGTTGGCCAGGCTGGCCTTGAACTCCTGACCTCAGGTGATCCGCCCTCCTCGGCCTCTCAAAGTGCTGGGATTATAGGCGCGGGCCACTGCGCCTGGCCCAGAATGAATAATCTATGAGGAAAAAGGCATGTTCCTAGTGAGTTTTCTAACTTGATGCATCCCACCAAAGTTAGAAGCAGTAACTTGGCTACTGTGTGGGGAAGGCCTGTTTGAAAACAATAGCAGCACGGAAATCAGCAGAGCAGGAGATGGAGGCAGCAAGATCGAGTCCTGAGGCTGCTGTCGACACCTTGGCTTCACCTGTGGCTGAAGTCAGCTCTTCCTCTGGATTTTTCAGTTTCGTGAGCCACTGAATTCCTTGTCTTGCATTTGCTAGCATTGTTAGAGGTGTTCAAACCAGAGGGATTCCATCTTGAATAGTGGCTGGGTAAAATAAGGCTGAGACCTACTGGCCTGCATTCCCAGGAGGTTAGGTATTCTTTTTTTTTTTTTTTTTTTTTTTTTTGTGAGATGGAGTTGCAGGCTGGAGTGCAGTGGCATGATCTCTGCTCACTGCAACCTCCACCTCCCGGGTTCAAGCGATTCTTCTGCCTCAGCCTCTGGAGTAGCTGGGACTACAGGCATGCAACATGACGCCCAGCTAATTTTTGTATTTTTAGTAGAGACGGGTTTCACCATGTTGGCCAGGATCGTCTAGATCTCCTGACCTCGTGATCTGCCCACCTCAGCCTCCCAAAATGCTGGGATTACAGGTGTGAGCCACCAGGCATTCTTAATCACAGGATGAGACAGGAGGTCACAAAGATACAGGTCACAAAGACCTTGCTGATAAAACAGGATAGGTAAATAAGCTGCCCTAAACCTACCAAAACCAAGGTGGCAATGAAAGTGACCTCTGGTTGTCCTCATTGCTCATTATACACTAATTATAGTGCATTAGCATGCTAGACACTCCCACCAGCGCCATGACAGTTTACAAATGCCATGACGTCAGGAAGTTATCCTGTATGGTCTAAAAGGAGAGGAACCATCAGTTCCGGGAATTGCCCACTCCTTTCCTGGAAAATTCATGAATAATCTGCCCCTTGTTTAGCACATGCTCAAGAACTAACCGTAAGTATACTCAGTCAAGCAGCCCATGCTGCTGCTCTGCCTATGGAATAGCCATTTTTTTATTCTTTTTTTTTTTTTTTTTTTGAGACAGATTCTGTTGCCTCAGCCTCCCGAGTAGCTGGGACTACAGGTGCCAGCCACCATGCCCGGCTAATTATTGTATTTTTAGTAGAGATGGGGTTTCACCTTGTTGGTCAGGCTGGTCTTGAACTCCTAACCTCGTGATCTGCCCACCTCAGCCTCCCAAAGTGTTGGGATTACAGGCGTGAGCCACTGTGCCTAGCCTGAAGGCAAGTTTATTAAGAAAGTAGCCGGGGCCAGGTGCAGTGGCTCACGCCTGTAATCGCAGCACTTTGGGAGGCCGAGGCAGGTGGATCACCTGAGGTCAGGAGTTCAAGACCAGCCTGACCAACATGGTGAAACCTCCATCTCTACTAAAAATACAAAAAATTAGCCAGGCGAGGTTAGGCATGCCTGTAACCCCAGCTACTTGGGAGGCTGAAGCAGAATTACTTGAACTCAGGAGGCGGAGGTTGCAATGAGCAGAGATTGCACCATTGCACTCCAGCCTGGGCAACAAGAATGAAATCCCTCTCAAAAAAAAAAAAAAAGAAAGAAAAAAGGGAAAAAGAAAGTAGCAGGGCACGGTGGCTCATGCCTGTAATCCCAGCACTTTGGGAGGCTGAGGTGGGTGGATCACCTGAGGTTAGGATTTCGAGACCATCCTGGCCAACATGGTGAAACCTCGTCTCTACTAAAAATACAAAACTTAGCCGGGTGTAGTGGCGGGCGCCTGCAATCTCAGCTACTTGGGAGGCTGAGGTAGGAGAATCGTTTGAACCTGGGAGTGGAGGTTGCAGTGAGCCAAGATTGCGCCACTGCACCCCAGCCTGGGTAGCAGAGGAAGACTCCATCTCAAAAATCAATCAATAAATAAACAAACAAACTTGTTTTTGCTTTACTCTATGGACTCACCCCAAATTCTTTCTTGGGTGAGGTCCAAGAACTCTCTCGGGTCTGGATTAGGACCCTTTTCTGGTAACAGTATGTTTCTGTGGCTTGCAACCAAAAGAGTCCTAACCAATAAACCCTCTTTTTTGAGTGCTCCTCTCCCCTATATAGGCCAGAAATAGACCAGACCTATGTCTACACTCAAATGGAGAGTGGAGGACTGGAAAGCCATGGTCCTTTGCTCACAGGAAACAAATTGAACCCCGGCCTAGAAAAGCTCAGTGGGCACTGGTGATTTTCCTGCTGGCCCAGATACCTGCATAATCTGCAGTTCTGTCCCAAAGTTGGGCCCCAAGTTACAGCTTTTTAGTTCACATTCTAACACTCAGCCACTGTTCTCCAAAGCAGGACATGTAAGAGTGGCTGGACCCAGAGAGATTTCCAGCCTTAGCCAGATGCCATATTGAAACCAGCTTCTCCACTGAACTTTAGGCCTTTGTTTTGGGCCCTGTTTTCCAACCCAAATGCCCACTTCTTGGTAAATTGTCCTTCGTCAGGGGTACTCTGCTTAACCCAGAAAAATTCTCTGAATTTCAAGTCTTGAGAGTTTTATTTCTGTCCCTACTAAAAGACTCTGGGCTGCTATGCAAATTGGTCCACCCCCTCTCCAGGGCTCCTCATACCAGGGAATCTCTAGGAGATGCTCAGTTTTTATCAAGGATGTTGTCAAAGCTATTTAAATTGTACATTTATAGGATAGTCAGATGTCGCCACAGGAGGAAAGATAGGAGAGGCTTGTAGAAGAAAGTTTATTATACTCAGGTCCTAAAGAGGGGGTCACCACATGCCATGCAGAGATCACTGGGGAATGTGGGGGTAGTCAGGAGGCAGAACACTGGGATGGGGGAGAGCTTGGGCCATGGCCTTTGTTGACATTTCTGAGGCAGGGCAGGTTAAACAGTTGAGGAGTGGCCAGTTGAATAATCTTTTTCTTTTTCTTTATTTTTCTTTTTTGAGACAGGGTCTCACTGTCGCCCAGGCTGGAGTACAGTGGTGCCATCACGGCTCATTGCAGCCTCGACTTCCTGGGCTTAAGTGATTCTCCCATCTCAGCCTCTGAGTAGCTGGGACTACAGACATGCCACCACACCTGGCTAACTTTTGTTTGTTTTTTGAGACCAGGTTTCACCATGTTGCCCAGGCTGAAATTTCAATAGGCTCTAAATTAGATGGGTGGCCCCTAGTTGCCTGGTAGCAGGGCCTGGGATGATTAAGGGAAAGGAATAGTCTCTTCTGGAGTGTAAGGGCCAGATAGAGCTAGGATGGCTGTAGATTAGTTAGTTTGCGCATCAAAGGCATGCTCTTGGCTAGTGCCTTTGCTATCTCTAAGAATTGGCTATCCCTGATAGGGGCAGTCTCTCCCCAGCTAGAATGATTTTTCAAGATGTTAAAACAGGCCGGGCGTGGTGGCTCACGCCTGTAATCCTAGCATTTTGGGAGGCTGAGGCAGGTGGATCACCTGAGGTCAGGAGTTCGAGACCAGCCTGGCTAACATGGTGAAACCCCATCTCTACTGAAAATACAAAAAATTAGCGAGCATTGTGGTGGGCGCCTGTAATCCTAGTTACTCGGGAGGCTGAGGCAGGAGAATCGCTTGAACCCAGGAGGAGGAGGTTTCAGTGAGCTGAGATTGCGCCATTGCACTCCAGCCTGGGCAACAAGAGTGAAACTGTGTCTCAAAACAAAAAACAAAACAAAAAACAAAACAAAACAAAACAAAAAAGTTAAAACAGCATAATACACAGAAAATTTAAAATATACACAATGAATCAAGTAACAAAGCCTTCCTTTCCCTAGGACAAAAGTGTGCCTTTATATTTGCATACGAAAATAAGCCATTTAAGTGATTTTGCAGAATGCAGAAAATCTGCTCCTAGATGACTTTATTTCTGCTTATTCAGGGAAGCAGCTTCTGTGGTTTTCAAAAGGTAAAAGGAAGAAAAAAAGCTCCTATTTCCCAGTATCCTGCATTGTGAACAATTTCTACTTGCCGAGTTAGTCTCTGTTTTCTTTCCATATCCCAGCTCCTATACCTTTGCAGTCTCTCAGCTTAACCTTTCCCCTCCCATTTTTGGAATTTTACTTTTTTTTTTTTTTTTGAGACGGAGTCTCGCTCTGTCACCCAGGCTGGAGTGCAGTGGCATGATCTCAGCTCACTGCAACCTCCGCCTCCTGGGTTCATGAGATTTTCCTGCCTCAGCCTCCTGAGTAGCTGGGATTACAGACGTGCGTCATCGCGCCCAGTTAATTTCATATTTTTAGTAGAGATGGGGTTTCACTGTGTTGGCCAGGCTGGTCTCGAATTCCTGACCTCAAGTGATCCACCCACCTCGGCCTCTCAAAGTGCTGGGATTACTGGCGTGAGCTACCGCACCCAGCAGAATTTTACTTTTTCTTTAAGGGTCAATCCAAGATTACACTGCTTATGAATTAATTATATAATCATTTGCTCTCTTGTTTTCCTAAATATTAGTCTTTTCTCTTAACTAGTGTACACATGCTTTATGTGTAGGAACCACATTTTCCTTGTTTATTCTTTAGCGCTTAGCATTAATAATAATTAGTGAGTGAATAATTTCATGAATAATCAAATACCTTTTGTAACAAATGGTACTTCGAATACTTGAATTTTCTTCTCTTTCCTTCTTTTTTTTTTTGAGACAGAGTCTCACTCTGTGACCCAGGCTGGAGTGCAGTGGCTCTATCTTGGCTCAATGCAACCTCCACCTCCTGGGCTCCAGCAATCCTCCCACTTCAGCTTCCTGAGTAGCTGGGACCTCAGGCACACACCAGCACGCCTGGCTAATTTTTTTGTATTTTTGTAGAGACGGGGTTTTGCCATATTGCCCAGGCTGGTCTTCAAACTCCTGGGCTCAAGCAATTCACTCGCCTTGGCCTCCCAAAGAGCTGGGATTATAGGTGTGAGCCACCACGCCCAGCCCTGGAATTTTCATGTAAGTTGATGTAACATTAA
This sequence comes from Homo sapiens, assembly GCF_000001405.40. Classification (NCBI taxonomy): domain Eukaryota; kingdom Metazoa; phylum Chordata; class Mammalia; order Primates; family Hominidae; genus Homo; species Homo sapiens. The sequence goes on from NC_000022.11 coordinate 38,518,866, forward strand.
AGTCTATAAAGATTGAAGTCTATAAAGCTCTTCATTGTATATTGTCATTAGTATATTAATTTTTACATATTTTCACCATACATGCATTTTGAAAACAGGATTTTATTTGTTTAACAATCAAAATAATATCTTTTACACATTTCTAAGATTAGTATTCAGAAATTTTACATTTAAATTAATTTTAACATTTTAAAAAAGTTTTTTTTTTTTTTTTGAGACGGAGTCTCACTCTGTCACCTAGGCTGGAGTGCAGTGGTGCCATCTTGGCTCACCGCAATCTCTGCCTCCTGGGTTCAAGCAATTCTCCTGCCTCAGCCTCCAGAGTAGCTGGGATTACAAGCACATGCCACTGCACTTGGCTAATTTTTGTATTTTTAGTAGAGATGGGGTTTCTCCATGTTGGCCAGGCTGGTCTTGAACTCCTGACCTCAAGTGATCCACCTGCCTCGGCCTCCCAAAGTGCTGGGATTACAGGTGTGAGCCACCACGCCCAGCCATAAATACATTTTTTAAAAGTAATTTCTGCTTGTCAAAGTCAAATGATTTAAAATTTGGCTTAATTTAATGTCTGTTTTCTGTTGCTATAAAGGTGAATATGCAGTTTGATATTATAAATAGAAAGAGCTTTTGTGTGTGTGTCCTATAAACATTCCTCCCTTAAATCCTCTTGTGGAAAAACATCTAGCTATGTAAGTCAGTGGCACTATACCCTAGAAAAATGGTGAAGGGAAAGTCCTTAGGAGAATGGGACATTTCTGAACTCTTAGACTTTCTGTTTAGTGGCTCACTTTGAAAAGTGAAAGGGAGGGAATCACGTACTCCTTTCCCAACAACTAGTTTTCCATAGGTATATATACATACACAGAGTGAGAGAATTTCAATAGGTATATATATCTACTATATATGTCAGGTATACACACACAAACACACACACACACAAACATACATATACATATCCCTGAATTTACATACAATGTATAGTTATCATAAATCAGGGACTTTTAAGATAAATATAAGATTTAAATCTCTTTGCTGACTTTTCTTTAGTAACATGTGGGAAAAAACCTCTATTTCAAGATGTGAAATTGGAGACTGCTTTTCCATTTCTTCAGCTCCTAATAAGCACTAAGAAGCAATTTGCATCAATTCACCACCTACTCCTTGGCATCCCCAATTCCTCCAGCAGTTATTGCGAAGGTGGCTTCATTTTCAGGCATCTCAGGACTAACAGAATACAAGGGAACAGAAGTTTATAAAAAGCTCTATTTCTATAAATACTATATTCATGTCACAGGCATTATGTGCCCATCAGTCTGAATCTCCAGAGACATCTCAGAGTTGGTACAACCAAATGTGGCCTACAGAACTTACCCACAAGTATTATTAACCCTCACAAACATTTATTGAGCAACTTCTATATATAAAGTTCTGAATGTCAAGAAAAATTACTCCAAACTTGGAAACAGGTGAAAGGATAACTGGATGTTCTTTCATTTATTTATTTTAATTTTTTTTTTTTGGCGAAGTCTTGCTCTTGTCCCCCAGGCAATGGTGAGATCTCGTCTCACTGCAACCTCTGCCTCCTGGGTTCAAGCCATTCTCCTGCCTCAGCCTCCTGAGTAGCTGGGATTACAGGTGCCTGCCACCACGCCCGGCTAATTTTTGTATTTTTAGTAGAGACGGGGTTTCACCATGTTGGCCAGGCTGGTCTTGAACTCCTGACCTCAGGTGATCCGCCTGCCTCGGCCTCCCAAAGTACTGGGATTACAGGCGTGAGCCACTGCGCCTGGCCAACTGGATGTTCTTTTAGTATAGTGTCAGGCATTGTATAGCAGCCCCTTAGAGGTTTATCTGATTCTATAGGGGTATGCACCTTTCTTATGACTAGACTAATGTAGGAGCAAACTGTAAAATACTTTGAAATAAATTAAAAGATTACTGAGTACCTTCCATGGAAACATAGGTTGTCTAGCACATCCTCCCAGGTTATCCAATTCTTTTTTGTTTTTTGTTTTTGTTTTTTTTTTTTGAGACGGAGTCTCACTCTGTCGCCCGGGCTGGAGTGCAGTGGCGCGATCTCGGCTAGTCTCAAACTTCTGGCCTCAGGTGATCCGCCCACCTCGGCCTCCCAAAAGTGCTAGGATTACAGGTGTGAGCCACTGTGCCGGGCCAAAATCTGTAATTCTTAATTAAACACGTAAAGTGCTGAGAAAGAATATAGGGTATAATATACTGAGTAGCCTAGACTGTAAGGGTTAGGGAAAGGTTCCCTGAGAAAGTGATGTTTAAACTGAAACCTGAAAAACAAATAGAGTTAACCTGGCAAAAAGAAAGGAGGATATGTTCCCATACTTGATACTTACCTTGTATTTAACACAATTTAATTGGAATTGATGATTTCATTATCTAGGTGTATGCTTTGAAAGGTCAGGGACCAAGTCTATGTGTCAATAGAATCCCTCAATCCCTAGTACCTAGTAACAGTAGGGACTTCCCAATAAATTGAATAATTTTTTAGAAAGAAATTCAAACACACAGCATCTGGCAGTAATAATTACAGCCTTGTGGTGGCTCACACCTATAGTCCCAGCACTTTGGGAGCCCAAGGTGGGAGGATTGCTTGAGCCTAGGAGTTTGAGACCAGCTCGGGCAACATGGCAAAACCCCGTCTCTACACACACACACACACACACACACACACACACACACACACACACACACACAAAATAAAAAAAAATTTACCTGTCATAAATCTTGGCAATTCTGAGCTCTCCTCTTCCCTTTCGCAAGCTTATTCTTGTTGTTGAAGCATGAGCCAGAATGTGTCCCCCAATGGGTTTTTTGGGATCTGCCTGAAAGCTGAATTAATAAAATACTCTTTCAGGTTTCATCATATGGACTATATATGGCAATATCTGCAATTACAAGGCAATCTTTCTGTGGTGGATGTCAGGAGTTGGAATAAGTGTATATTCTAAACAAGCAGAGGCTTGTTCATAAACTAAGGAGTGAGGTGAGTTTTGGAGCTGCTATATACCCCATCTAGTCTAGGCTTTTGAGATTCCTATGATAAATAGTTTATATTTTGTTTGACTTTTTTTTTTTGAGATGGAGTCTAGCTGTGTCGCCCAGGCTGGAGTGCAGTGGTGTGATCTCACTCACTGCAACCTCTGCCTCCTGGGTTCAAGCGATTCTCCTGTCTCAGCCTCCCAGGTAGCTGGGATTACAGGTGCCCACCACCACGCCCAGCTAATTTTTTGTATTTTTAGTAGAGATGAGGTTTCACTGTGTTGGCCAGGCTGGTCTCGAACTCCTGACCTCATGATCTGCCCGCCTGGGCCTCCCAAAGTGCTGGGGTTACAAGCACGAGCCACTGTGCCCAGCCTGACTTTAAAAAATGAGATTACTGGCTGGGCTCGGTGGCTCGTGCCTGTAATCCCAGCACTTTGGGAGGTCGAGGTGGGTGGATCACTGAGGTCAGAAGTTCGAGACTAGCCTGGCCAACATGGCAAAAACCCATCTCTACTAAAAATACAAAAATTAGCCAGGTGTGGTGGCGTGTGCCTGATGCTTGTAATCCCAGCTACTCTGGAGGCTGAGGCAAGAGAATTGTTTGAACCCAAGAGGTGGAGGCTGCAGTTAGCTGAGATCAGCCACTGCATTCCAGCCTGGGCAACAGAATAAGACTCCTTCTCAAAAAACAAACAAACAAAAACAGAAAGAAAAAAAGAAAATGTGGGCTTAGAAATCATCAATAAGGGAACAGCACAAACTAAAGGTTATACTTGATCAAAATAAACTATGATATAGAATAATAGCTTCAGTTCTGAAAGAATATAGTTACAAGTCAATTCAAGTTGTGCTTGCTCCATTAAAGTGTTCATGATTCTGGTTTTACTCTAAGCTTCAGGCTTGGTATAGCAAGGATGTAGCTGATTGGCATGAGGTTAAATATATTTAGACTGTAGGTTGGTCGGGATAAGAAGCTCTTTGGTAAAGGAGTTTGCTGAGATAAACTGCTACTTGATTAAATGGCTCAGAGGTTAGGACCAGAAGACCCCTGGTTGGTGCTGAATAGGATTAAGATTCAGTAGAAACTGGACACTATGGCACATATCTGTAGTCCCAGCTACTTGAGAGGCTGAAGCAGGAGGACCACTTGAGCCCAGGAATTCAGAGGCTAGCCTGGGCACCATAGTGAGGCCCTCTTAAAAACATTTTTAAAAAAATGTTTTAAATGCAAATGCAGCAGGTCCAACATAGGAACAAGGACAAAGAGTTAGTTTTGGAGTGAACCACTATCAAGAAAGTAGTAGCCAGACAGTTGAGACTAACGGCGGCAGTTAAGAAGTCAGAAAGCTGGGTTGCTTTGCCAGGCACCTGACATGGTAGTAAAGCAATAAAGCCTTCTCAGTTGGATAAAATAGCTAGATAAGTGAGTTGTCTCTATAATGCTTACAGATCGATGCCACTTAACTTTTCAGGTCACCCTACCTTACAGGTGGTTCTTCATGGTTTTAAAATAATCTTATGTTCTATATAGATGGGCTGCTTGAGACCCTGAGGATATTCTCAACTGAGCTATGAACTCCGAGCCTGCAAACACTGTATTTATGCTTCTGTAATGTACTTTTCATGTTCTGCCTTTAGTACTATTATTTATTTACTTATTGTATTCCTTCTCAATTCCTCTCTTATTCTCTATCACTAAGCTCCTTAAGGGCAGACTATATTGTGTTTAGTTCTGCACAACCAGGCACACAGTGGGTGTTCAAAATTGTTTTTTCAGCTACGTGGGAGGCTGAGGCAGGAGAATCGCTTGAACTCGGAAGGCGGAGGCTGCAGTGAGCTGAGATTGCGCCACTGTACTCTAGCCTGGGTGACAGAGTGGGACTCTGTCTCAGAAAAAAAAAAATAGTTTTTTCAGCTTAAGATATTTATGCTACAACAATTCCAAGGGGAATATTGGACTGCAAAAAGATTGGTGTTTTCACAGAAGTTAAGAAAAAATAAAATTGAGACCAGTTGGAAATTTCTATCAAAAGGAGCTAAGAACGGATAGTCAAGGTTAGCTAAATGGGCAGAGAGAAGTCTGAACACAATGCTACTGCTTCTCCCAGCTAGTCTCTCAATGCTGCTCATTCTCCTGTGTGAGCATGGTTGGCTTTACTGCCTCACCTTCAGTAGTCTCCTTAAGCCCCCTTTTCCATTCTTATCCCCTCACCTTGGATGACATTGCCTGCTACTTTATAAAGAAAATAAGGGCTTGGCCGGGCACAGTGGCTCATGCCTGTAATCCCAGCACTTTGGGAGGCTGAGGCAGGCAGATTGCAAGGTCAGGAGTTTGAGACCAGCCTGGCCAATATGGTGAAACCTTGTCTCTACTAAAAATACAAAAATTAGCTGGGTGTGGTGGCGTGCACCTGCAGTCCCAGCTACTCAGGAAGCTGAGGCAGAAGAATCACTTGAACCCAGGAGGCAGAGGTTGCAGTGAGCTGATCGCGCCACCGGTGGCCCTCCAGCCCAGGCGACAGAGCGAGATTCCGTCTCAAAAAAATAAAATAAAACAAAATAAAATAAAATAAAACTAATAAATAAAAAAGAAAATAAGGGCTCTCAGGAGGACACTTCCTCAACTTCTTCTTTCTGTCCACCACCTATATACTTAACTACAGTTGTACTCATGTTTTCTCCTTCCCTCTAAAACTTCCTTTTTTCTGATTTCAGAAAGTCTTCTTATCCTTGATGACTTTGCACACATTACTCCCTCTGAAATGAAAGCTCCTTTCCCCACCGTGTCTGCTCATTCAGCTCCTACACAGCCTTCAAGTGTCCTCCCTTCTAGGAACCCTTGCCTGGTTCCCTGAAACAGTAGAAAACTGGCCCCCTCTGTGCTTTCCAACAGTCTGTATTCTTTTATTAAAGCACACTACAGGTGGGCGCAGTAGCACTTTGGGAGGCCGAGGCGGGCGGATCACCTGAGGTCAGGGGTTCAAGATCAGCCTGACCAACATGGAGAAACCCCGTCTCTACTAAAAATACAAAATTAGCCGGGTGTGGTGGCACATGCCCGTAATCCCAGCTACTCAGGAGGCGGAGGCAGGAGAATCGCTTGAACCTGGGAGGCAGAGGTTGTGGTGAGCTGAGATCGCACCATTGCACTCCAGCCTGGGCAACAAGAGCCAGACTACGTCTCAAAATAAATAAATAAATTAATTAATTAATTAAGCACACTACATGGTAATTTTAAATGTATGGGTCTTATTCCCCAACTATACTCTAAATATCTGTTCATCTTTGAAACTCCAGCGCCTGGAAAAGTGCCTATAATATACAGGGTACTCCATAAATATTGCAGAATGAATACAGAGATGACAATTTGGGACTCCCTGGTCTAGGTCCTTCTTGGACACAGATTTGTGTCATATCTTCAAAACTGTAATTCAGGGAACTTTTGAAGAGTGTTCTGACAGAGGCAAATATAAAAGAAGATAGATTCCCCCAGTTGAAGCACCATGCCTCCCATGCCATTATAGATAACCTAAACAAGACTGGGAAGCTAGAGCTTCTAGATGTATAGCCATGATTTTTTTTTCTTAGCAAACTATTGTTTGCTGTTACTAGTGTGGTACCCAATGTGCAAAAAAGAATAGAGACAATTGCTTGTCATTACTGTAGGTGAAGAGCCTGAATGTTAAGAACATTATTTCCAAAAGGAGATGATTTTGAATCACCCAAATGGGGAAATAAATTATAGCATTTGCAAAAGGGCAAAGAAAACATATAGGAATGAGGCTGGGCAGAGTGGCTCACACCTGTAATCCCAGCCCTTTGGGAGGCTGCGGCAGGTAGATCCCTTGAGCCCAGGAGTTCAAGACCAGTCTGGACAACATGGTAAAACCCCATCTCTACAAAAATACAACAATTATCTGGGCATGGCGGTGCATGCCTGGAGTCCTGGCTACTCAGGAGGCTGACGCAGGAAGATCTCTCAAGTCCAGGAAGTTGAGGCTGCGGTGAGTGTTCATTGTGCCACTACACTCCAGTCACTCCAGCCTGGGTGACAGAGCAAGACCTTGTCTCAAAAATAAAATAAAATACATAAAATAAAAGAAAAAAAAAGAAAAAGAAAGATATTATGGGGATAAAAAAGTCTAACAAATGATTAATAAACTAAGAAGTTATATCAAAATAGGCTGTGACATAGCAGCCTTAACTCCAGGAGACTATCAAGCCAATTCAAATTTTGTTTGTTTGATATAATCCATAGGTTTAAAAGAAAGGAAAACAAACAAATTTTGTTTGTTCCACTAAGGTGTTCAGGATTTTGTGTCAAATTTATGGATTTTTTTTTTTTGAGACGGAGTCTTGCTCTGTTGCCCAGGCTGGAGTGCAATGCCGTGATCGCGGCTCATTGCAATCTCCACCTCCCGGGTTCAAGCGATTCTCCTAGCTTAGCTTCCTGAGTAGCTAGTAGTAGATTACAGGTACATGCCACCACGCCCGGCTAATTTTTGTATTTTTAGTAGAGACGGGGTTTCACTATGTTAATCAGGCTGGTCTCGAACTCCTGACCTCATGATCTGCCCACCTCAGCCTCCCAAAGTGCTGGGATTACAGGCGTGGGCCACCACGCCTGGCCAAATTTATGGCTCTTAACCTTTCTTGTAGGTCACTAACACTTTGATAATTTAATAAAAACATCCCCTCCCCACCAAAAAAAGGGCACATATACACACATACAAAAATTTTTGTGTAAGTCTGGGAAATTCATAACCCCTTCTCTGGTGTACATGGGTATTAATAATAATAATAATAACTAAGATTTACTGAGTCCTTGCTATGTGGCAGACATTCTTCTAAGTCATCAATTTTTTTTCCCTTTGCTTGGATTCCATATCTAGTAAATAATTTCAGATTAAAATTTGGATTCCTATTGAGGTCTACTTACAGGGAGAGAATGTGCTGGTCACATGAATCTCAAATGTAGCTACATTTTCGTTATCAATAAACTGGCCGTCTGGTTCTTCATTCAGTCTCATGAGCTTGATTAATGTGTGTCTGCCCCCAGGAAACAGATTGGTTCTTAGTAAGCTGACCAAATCAAATCTCTGCCTGCAAGGCTGAGGGCTCTGGACTATGGTCAATTCACTGGAGAAATGGATACATCCCTGCAAAACCTCTCAGGTGACAGCATACCAGCCATTCCCCAGGCAGAAGCAGTCCTGATATACTGTGTGTTGTATGAGCTATGGAGTTAGACCTGAGTTCAAATTCTGTCTGGCTTTTTAGCCATATGACTTGAAGAAAATTGTTTAACCATTCTAAATCTCTCCTTCTTCTTTTATTTTTTTTTTTAGACGGCATCTTTCTCTGCCATCCAGGCTAGAGTTCAGTGCCAGGATCTCAGTTCACTACAGCCTCCGCCTCCCCAGTTCAAGCAATTCTCCTGCCTCAGCCTCTGGAGTAGCTGGGACTACAGGCGCCCGCCACCAAGCCCAGCTAATTTTTATATTTTCAGTAGAGACAGAGATTCACCATGTTGGCCAGGCTGGTCTTGAACTCCCGACCTCAAGTGATCCGCCCACCTCGGCCTCCCAAAGTGTTGGGATTACAGGTGTGAGCCACTGCACTGGACCTCCTTTTTCTCCTTTTTTTTTTTTTTTTTTTTGAGACGGAGTCTTGCTCTGTCACCCAGGATGGAGTGCAATGGCACGATCTTGGCTCACTGCAACCTCTGCTTCCTGGGTTCAAGCAATTCTCCCTGCCTCAGCCTCCCAAGTAGCTGGGATTATAGGCACCCATCACCATACCGGATAATTTTTGTATATTTAGTAGAGATGGGGTTTTGCCATGTTAGTCAGGCTGGTCTCAAACTCCTGACCTCAGATGATCCACCTGCCTCAGCCTCCCAAAGTGCTGGGATTACAGGTGTGAGCCACCATGCCCAGCCTTACTTCTTCATTTTTAATGGGGGATAATAACTGTACTTAATAGTTGTAAAATAAAATGCAATAATTCAGGTAAGGCATAACTCCAGTGACTGCAATTATTTACCTGCTTTCCTAATCCTGACTTAAACATTTATTACCTATATTACCTTGGGGTACCTTTATGAACCTCAGTTTCTTTCACTATAAAATGGGAATAAAAAGACTTTACCTCTTAGGGCATTGTAAGGATTCAATATATATTGAATTTTTTTTTTTTTTTTGAGACAGAATCTCACTCTGTCACCCAGGCTAGAGTGCGGTGGCATGATCTCGGCTCATTGCAACCTCCACCACCCAGGCTCAAGCAATTCTCCTGCCTCAGCCTCCCGAGTAGCTGGGATTACAGGTGTGCGCCATCACACTCAGCTAATTCTTTTGTACTTTTAGGAGATACAGAGTTTCATCATGTTAGCCAGGATGGTCTCAAACTCCTGACCTTAAATAATCTGCCCGCCTTGGCCTCCCAAAGTGTTGGGATTACAGGTGTGAGCCACTGCGCCTGGCCTGAATCTTGAATATTATACATACAAGGCTCCTATGTGCCAGGAACTGTACCTGTTCACTTACATACATTTGTTCTATCCTTACGGCAATCTTGGCACATAAGAGATCCTCGATAAAGGATAATTATTGGCTGGGCACAGTGGCTCACGCTTGTAATCCCAGCACATTGGGAGGCCAAGGTGGGCAGATTGCTTGTTTGATCCCTTGGAGGCCCACAAGTTTGAGACTAGGCTGACAACAGGGTGAAACCCTATCTGTACAAAAAATGCAAAAAATTAACCCGGTGTGGTGGCATGTGCCTGGTTCTGTGCTGCCTTGGAGGCTGAGGTGGGAGGATCACTTGAGCCTGGGAGGCCAAGGCTGCAGTGAGCTAAGATCATGCCACTGCACTCCAGCCTGGGCAACAGAGACCCTGTCTCAAAAACTAAACTAAACTAAAATAATACATAGGATAACTATTATTTAACTAAACAATTCAGCTAAAACAGTCACTCTGTCAGTGAAAAGTAGACCAGGAAACTTTTCTTAAAGTTTCTTTGAACTTCCTGACTATTACAGCAGTTATAACCAAGTCTTGAGGTGAAGTACAAGAAGGTATAATAGCATTCCACATTCTTTTAGAGGGCTTTAATTTTCTTCTATTTCTTTCTTTCTTTCTTTTTTTTTTGACGGAGTTTCGCTCTTATCGCCCAGGCTGGAGTGCAGTGGCACCATCTCGGCTCACCACAACCTCCGCCTCCCAGGTTCAAGCGATTCTCGTGCCTCAGCCTCCCAAGTAGCTGGGACTACAGGCGTGTGCCACCATGCCCTGCTAATTTTTGTATTTTTAGTAGAGACGGGGTTTCACCATCTTGGCCAGGCTTGTCTTGAACTCCTGACCTCATGATCCACCTGCCTCGGCCTCCCAAAGCACTGGGATTACAGGCGTGAGCCACCGCACCCGGCCAATTTTCTTCTATTTCTGACCAAGTAAAAACAGCTTCAGAAAACCACCCACAAACCTCCTTGAGCCTATCATCTTATTTCTTCTTCTTTTATATTTTCTTCTCTTCTTCTTTTTTCCTTTTGTCAGGGAACTAGGGAGTATGGCAAGGAGGAGGAGATGGGGGTGGATATTAGTAGTAAAGAGGGGATGAGAATATTTCACTTCTCCCCCTCTGGTTGAACAGGATATGGCATATTATATTGTTGAGAGTAAGACCCAAAACAGCCTGACCTGGCAATGTCAAATTAGGATGCTGGGGTCATGAAACATATATAGAGTTATGGTATAGGATGGGGAAGATGGTACAGTGAGGTTCAAGTAGCATTAACTTTGATGTCAAAGATACCTGGGTTCAAATCCTGGCTCACACATTTTTAAATTCTGGAATTGGGCAAACGCTAAGTATTCTGAGCCTCTGTTTCCACCTTTATAAATTAGGAATAATCATCATGCCTACCTTAAATACTGCTTAGAGTGTGGATCTTGAGGGGCATGGGCAAGGGCAAGCTTGAGGGACAATAAGTACTCCTGATGCTTTTTACTTACTAAGGAGTGAGATTACAGATGGCATTTTCGAGAAGTGGTCCATTGAGGAGAGAAAGATTGAACTTGCCCAAGAATGAGGAGGCTTTTTTGGAGATGGAGTCTTGCTCTGTCGCCCAGGCTGGAGTGCAGTCACATGATCTCAGCTCACTGCAACCTCAGCCTCCTGGGTTCAAGCAATTCTCCCTGCCTCAGCCTCCCAAGTAGCTGGGATTACAGGAACCCCCCACCACACCTGGCTAATTTTTGTATTTTTAATAAAGATGCAGTTTTGCCATGTTGGCCAGGCTGGTCTCGAACTCCTGACCTCAGGTGATCCACCTGCCTCAGCCTCCCAAAGTGCTGGGATTACAGTTGTGAGCCATGCCTGGCAGGGGAGGCTTTGAGATTTTGGGAAGATGGGGGAAAGGGGAGTACCGCCAAAGAAGAATTTTGAGGAAAGAGAAGAGGTGGTTAAAAAAAAAAGGGTATGTTTAAGAAGTTTTGTTAAGTAATTCTCCCCTCTGTCTTCTCCCAAAATATGCAGAAAAATATACACTTTTTTCAACATTTTAAAGATGGAATTCTGGGTTCTTTTTTGCGGGGGGAGGTGAGATGGGGAGGGATTCAACAACTTACTGAGATTGGCTTCACAAAAGCAACAGGGAGGTCCAAGGAGGCTGTGAGTTACATTGGGGTCACATGAGAATTAGATAAGATGATGCATAAAAGCACCTGGCACATGGTAAGTAATCAATAAACATAAATTAATTTTGAGAGGGAGGAAAATGCAGTTCAAATAGTTTAAATCACTTGTACAAGGTCACTATGCTAGTGACCCTGGTTTAATGTTTTTTCTCTAATCATATTGCCTCTTAATTTATGCTAATGATGTTGGATCAGAAGGTGACATCCTTAGGACGGGTGTGGTGGCTCACACCTGTAATCCCAGCACTTTGGGAGGCTGAGGTGGGCGGATCGCCCGAGGTCAGGAGTTCAAGACCAGCCTGGCCAACATGGTGAAACCCTGTCTCTACTAAAAATACAAAAATTAGCCAGGTGTGGTGGCATGCTCCTGTAATCCCAGTTACTCAGGAGGCTGAGGCAGGAGAATCTCTTGAACCTGGGAGGCGGAGGTTGCAGTGAGCCAAGATCATGCCATTGCACTCCAGCCTGGGTGACAACAAACAAACAAAAAGAAGGTGACATCCTTAGAGAATAAACTGACTGTATATTTACAAGACTGCAAATGTTCTACGGTGACTTTTTGTTTTCCCAAAACAAATACACAAATGAAGTAGGTGGCAACATCATGGTCTTATTTGTTGTTCATCTTGTTATTTGCCCCAGTGTGGGACTTTATGGACTGATACTTTGACTTTTTATCTCCAAGTCTTCATCAACTGGATCATTCCAGTTCTAAAGTCTGTATCTGTAAGCCTCATCTAGGAGCTACTCCTCTTGCTATATCGTATGGCAGCTCCTCGCTTCTATAATTTCGTTCCTTTTTAATAAGATGTGCAATCAAGTATAATGCATGGGATATAAGCCCCAATTATTGTCAGTGTACTTGCGGACTCATACCAATTATAGTGATAGTTCCCTGACAGGCCCCAGGGGAACTGCAGCTTGGAGTTTCTCAACACTGAGAAACAAAGATATTTTCTTTATGGGAGGTTTCCTAATAGTATTTAAAATCCTTTAGTTTAAAATTGTCCTTTTTTTTCCCATTTAGCTGTGGCAACTTTTGTGCTTTATATAAAGACAAGCATTTAATTTGTATTGTTATAATTTAATATACTTTATTAACATACCAATTATAGTGAACCTTGTTTCCTAACAATTCAGCTAGGTGGAGGAGATGATGTTTCAGAGTTGACTTACCCAGTAAAAATACTAGCCTTTGTTACTTTGTCTAGCACTTTACTTAGCTTCCTCATTTTCAGTCTCCTCCCCATTCCAACTCCCTCTTCAATTATCTGTCATCTCTCTATTTCTTTCATTGTCTTATTGGAATTAATTCAAAATTGTTTTACTCTTTTTGAAACTTTCTACAAATATAAGAAAAAGAACCCCTATCTGACCTAATTTCCGCTGATTTCCTTTGCCTTCTAACTCTAGAGTGACAGTTTTGGCCTCTTCAATGTTCCCTCCCGACACCTGAAGAAAGAACATTGCTCTTTAACTTGTACTGTTTTATTTGAATGCAACCCACTTCCTCCCTCTGAGCCAATGAGTCATTTTCTCTTTTTAAAACGAGCCTTAAAAATCTTCCATTTCTCTTCAGTTTAAAATTATTCTCTTTGTGAAGCACTTCATGTCCTGTGTATGAAAGTCATCCCATAAAACAGAGATGATTGCCTTAACCACTCAGCGACTATACTATAGACAATGTGTGACTTACCAAGACTAAAATTTTGAGTTGAATGGACATCATTTATTGTCTTTCTTTTTTTTTTTTTTTCTTTTTTGAGACAGAGTCTCACTCTGTCACCCAGGCTGGAGTGCAGGGGTGTGATCTCGGCTCACTGCAACCTCCCCTCCCGGGTTCAAACGATTCTTCTGCCTCAGCCTCCCAAGTAGCTGGGATTACAGGCACGCGCATTTACGCCCGGCTAATTTTTATATTTTTAGTAGAGACAGGGTTTCACCATGTTGGCCAGCCTGGTCTCGATCTCCTGACCTCGTGATCCACTGACCTTGGTCTCCCAAAGTGCTGGATTACAGGAGTGAGCCACCACACCCGTTCACAAGACTTTTTTTTTTTTGAGACAGGTTCTCACTCTCTTGCCCAGGCTGGAGTGCAGTGGTGCAAACATGGCTCACTGCAGCCTTGACCTCCCAGGCTCAAGCAATCCTCCTGCCTCAGCCTCCCAAGTAGTTAGGACTACAGGCATGTGCCACCATGCTTGGCTAATTTTTAATTTTTTTTAGAGACGAGGTCTGTCTATGTGACTTAGGCTCCTGGGCTCAAGCGATCCTCCTGCCTCGGCCTCCCAAAGTGCTGGGATTACAGGCGTGAGCCACCGTGCTTGGCCGAGGCCAGGATTTTTGTCTTTTTTGTTCACTAGTGAATTCTCAGAATATTGTTACATAGTAGATTTTCAATAAATATTCATTGAGTGAATAAATGATTTCCCCTGCTCAATCTTTTTAACTTGCTTAATAACATTTGAGTAGTTAATATTTTTCACAGGAATCTCTTGTAACTAAGTAGAAAATACTTATAAAAGGGTCTTGAGGCCAGACGCGGTGGCTCATGCCTGTAATCCCAGCACTTTGGGAGGCTGAGGCAGATGGATCACGAGGTCAGGAGATCGAGACCATCCTGGCTAACACGGTGAAACCCCGTCTCTACTAAAACACAAAAACAAAATTAGCCGGGTGTGGTGGCGGGCGCCTATAGTCCCAAGCTACTAGGGAGGCCGAGGTGACAGAATGGCATCAACCTGGGAGGCGGAGCTTGCAGTGAGCCGAGATCGCGCCATTGCACTTCAGCCTGAGTGACAGAGCGAGACTCCATCACAAAAAAAAAAAAAAAAAAAAAGAGTCTTGAAAAGTGAGAGATAGATATCAAACTGCGAAAGATGAAGCAAAATTGTTAAGGGTAAATTTGGAAAATGCTTAAAGAGAGACACATTCATTTCAATGTAATTTACAGAATTTACTCCAGCATATCAAATATCTTTTAATATATCTGTCAATGATACATTTAATCTGCTACCATATGATGCATTGCTTCTGTTTTAAAGTAATAGCACTTTGTATTGCAACCATCAGAGTAATAATTAATTTACTCTAATTAATTTAGGCAAGAATCTTCAATGGATGCTAATATAAATGCATGAAAGCTTATTGCAGAGCAAGATATTTACACAGTCTCAAATTATCACACCACAAATTACTAATTAAATATAAAAGAGAATTTTTGTAATTTTCTTTTACAATGGAGACATCATGTGAATATCATCTTAATCATATGATCAGAATTAACATCACTAATAATGGGACAAACTGCCATCATGTGCCTCCTGATATGATATACTGAGAAGGCCATAATATTGCTTATGTAGTTTTCCTGTCAAAATGCTTAACATTTTAAGTAATGAAGAAAAAATTCAACTTCAAATTGAGGGACATTGCAAAACAGTTGGTCTGTGTTCTACAAAAATGTCGGTGTCATAAAAGTCTAACAAAGGTTGAAGAGCTGTTCTGATTAAAGGAGACTAAAGAGACATGACAATTACACGCAGTGCATGTTCTTCAATTGATCCTGAATTGAATGCAAAACAAAAAAACCCCCAACAACTATAAAGGACATTATTGGGGCAACTGGAGACACTTGAATACAACTGTATATTAGATAACATTATTATGCCAATGTTAGAATTTCTGAATGTGATAATTATATTGTGGCTATGTAGAAGAACATCATTATTCTTAGAAGAGATATGCTGAAGTATTAAGAGGTGAAGTGTCATGATGTCTGTGAATAATTTTCAGTGGTTCAGAAGAAACTTCTCAAATGGTTCACCAAAAAATACATATACAGGCTGGGCGTAGTGGCTCACACCTGTAATCCCAGCACTTTGGGAGGCTGAGGTGGGCGAATCACCTGAGGTCAGGAGTTCGAGACCAGCCTGGCCAACATGAAGAAACCCCGTCTCTACTAAAAATACAAAAATTAGCCGGCCATGGTGGCAGGCGCCTGTAATCCCAGCTACTCGGGAGGCTGAGGCAGGAGAATTGCTTGAACCCAGGAGGCAGAGGTTGCAGTGAGCTGAGATGGTGCTGCTGCACTCCAGCCTGAGTGACAGAGCAAGACTCTGTCTCAAAAAACAAACAAACACGACTGAGTGCGGTGGGTCATGCCTGTAATCCCAGGACTTTGGGAGGCCAAGGTGGGTGGAACACCTGAGGTCGGGAGTTCGAGACCAGCCTGGCCAACGTGGTGAAACCCTGTCTCTACTAAAAATACAAAAAAAATTAGCCAGGGGTGGTTGGCAGGTGCCTGTAATCCTAGCTACTCGGGAGGCTGAGGCAGGAGAATTGCTTGAACCCAGGAGGTGGAGGTTGCAGTGAGCTGAGATCGCACCATTGCACTCCAGCCTGGGAAACAAGAGTGAAACTCCATCTAAAAAAAAAAGAGGCTGGGCACAGTGGCTTATGCCTGTAATCCCAGCACTTTGGGAGGCCGGGGCAGGTGGATCGTGAGGTCAAGAGATAGAAACCATCCTGGCTAACACGGTGAAACCCCGTCTCTACTAAAAATACAAAAAATTAGCCGGGTGTGGTGGTAGGTGCCTGTAATTCCAGCTACTCAGGAGGCTGAGGCAGGAGAATCGCCTGAACCTGGGAGGCGGAGACTGCAGTGAGCTGGGATCGTGCCACTGCACTCTAGCCTGGGTGACAGAGCGAGACTCCGTCTCAAAAAAAAAAAAAGAAAAAGAAAAACAAACAAAAAACCGTATACACATACCACATACATATACATATGAGAATGTGTGTATGTGTGGAGAAACAAAGGTGTATGTACACCTCCACACACACACACACACACACACACACATACAGGAGAGAGAAAAAATGTGGCAAATTTAACAACTGATGAACCTAGATAAATGAGTATGTCTTGCTCTGTCTCCCAGGCTGAAATGCAGTGGCATGAATTCATTGCACTAGTTTTTTAACTTCTCTCTGGTAAAAATATTTTCTAAATAAAAACCTTTAAAAAAATCTTTTTTTTTTTTGTTTTTGAGACGGAGTCTTGTTCTGTCACCCAGGCTGGAGTGCAGTGGCACGATCTTGGCTCACTTCAACCTCTGCCTCCCAGGTTCAAGTGATCCTCCTGTCTTAGCCTCCCAAGAAGCTAGGACTACAGGTGCACACCACCATGCCTGGCTAGTTTTTTTAT
The DNA here is from genome assembly GCF_000001405.40 of Homo sapiens. Lineage (NCBI taxonomy): Eukaryota > Metazoa > Chordata > Mammalia > Primates > Hominidae > Homo > Homo sapiens. Next base: position 38,535,784 of record NC_000022.11, read on the forward strand.
TTTTAGTAAAGACAGGGTTTTGCCATGTTGTCCAGGCTGGTCTTGAACTCCTGACCTCAGGTGATCCTCCCACCTCGGCCTCCCAAAGTGCTGAGATTACAGTGAGCCACTGCCCACTGCACCCAGCCTTTAAAAGATTTTTTTAAAAGCTTTTTGGCTAGGCAAGGGGGCTCACACATGTAATCCTAGCACTTTGGGATGCTGAGGTGGGAGGATCGCTTGAGGCCAGGAGTTCGAGACCAGCCTGGCCAACATGGCAAAACCCTGTCTCTTCTAAAAATAAAAAAATTAGCCAGGCGTGGCGATGTGTGCCTCCCAGCTGCTCGGGAGGCTGAGGCTGGAGCATCACCTGAGCCTGAGAGGCAGAGGTTGCAGTGAGCAGAGATGGTGCCACTGCATTGCAGCTTGGGTGACAGAGTGAAACCTTGTCTCTTAAAAAAAAAAAACACACACACACTTTAAAAAAGCATTATCATGAATTTAGATTTGTTTTGCTTTGTTTGAGACAGTCTTGCTCTGTCTCCCAGGCTGGAGTGCAGTGGTGTGTATTTAGGATTATTTTGATTGCTTATTCAGACACATAATGCTCAAAATTTGTTACGGTGGCAACAAACCTTTGTTTGATTTATCTATTTTTATTATCCTACTTTAGCTCTCTGTGTGTTTCTATTCACTGCCGTCTTTCAGAGTCATCAATAGTTATGTGCACAAACACTTCAACAAATTCTGAATATGCCTAGTGTGAACTGAAATTCTTTTTCTTCAAACAGGAGACTTCTCCCATAGTGCCTCTGATAAATATATCTCATGTATATCCTGTAGAAAGATGACTTTTTTGTTTTTATGAATGGTGTTTATTATACTGATAAGCTGCAATATAAGTTTTTATTTCCCTAGGATCTATTTCTTATTGTCCTCCCATACCCCTTTAGCCCTAGACCAAAGAGAAGCCCAAAGTACTGCTGAAAATGGTTAAAGTATTGCTTTATTCTATAAAGAACTAGAGAAAAATAGATTCTGGTTACCAAGTGATATTTACAATTATGAAGTCATATACACTGTGCAATAAAGTGATTTTTTTTTTGAGATGCAGTTTTGCTCTTGTTGCACAAGCTGGAGTGCAATGGCATGATCTTGGCTCACTGCAACCTCCGCCTCCCAGGTTCAAGTGATTCTCCCACCTCAGCCTCCCGAATAGCTGGGATTACAGGTGCACGCCACCACGCCCAGCTAATTTTTTGTATTTTTAGTAGAGACGAGGCTTCATCATGTTGGCCAGGCTGGTCTTGAACTCCTGACCTCAGGTGATCCAACCATCTAGGCCTCCCAAAGTGTTGGGATTACAGGCATGAGCCACTGCGCCCAGTAATAAAGTGATTTGTGATATATTTGTGCCCACATAAAGACTAATGATTTTTAAATTCTTTTCTTTTTTCTTTTTTCTTTTTGAGATAGAATCTTGCTCTGTTTCCCAGACAGGAGTACAATGGCGCGATCTCGGCTTACTACAACCTCCACCTCCCAGGTTCAAGTGATTCTTCTGCCTCAGCCTCCGGAGTAGCTGAGATTACAGGTGTGCGCCACCACACCCGGCTAATCTCTGTATTTTTAGTAGAGACGGGGTTTCACTATGTTAGTCAGGCTGGTCTCCATCTCCTGACCTCGTGATCCGCCTGCCTCAGCCTGCTAAAGTGCTGGAATTACAGGCGTGAGCCACCGTGCCCGGCCTTGAAATTATTTTCTATTCTACGCTCTAACCCTCTTTATATTAACCTCTGTGAAATAAAAAGTAGAATATTGGGGCTTACGTCATAGTTGCTCCTGGATCGGCAGTCATTTGATTGGTCACAAAAACAGCCACGTTATATTCTGCATCAAGAGATAAAATTTTAAAACTATGAGAAAGGCAATATAGATATTTAAAAGTTCATTGTTTAGATTTCAGAGTTTAGACATATTGCATCATGAATTTATTTTATAAATAACATCATATTCCTATTTTTCATTGACAACAGAAATTATTTGTTATTATTATTATTAAGGTTAGAATAAATATTTTTGGTTTAAAAAGAGTTGTAAAGCCGGGCTCAGCGGCTCATGCCTGTAATCCCAGCACTTTGGGAGGCTGAGGCGGACAGATCACGAGGTCAGGAGCTCGAGACCAGCCTGGCCAACATGGTGAAACCCCGTCTCTACTAAATATACAAAAAATTGGCCTGGTGTGATGGCAGGTGCCTGTAATTCCAGCTACTCAGGAGGCTAAGGAGGAAGAATTGCTTGAACCTGGGAGGCGGAGGTTGCAGTGAGCCGAGATCGCACCACTGCACTCCAGCCTGGGCAACAGAGCGAGATACCATCTCAAAAAACAAAAAAAAAACAAAGAGTTGTATTCTCATAAAGGTAATTTTATTTAAAAAAAAATCGCTGCCTCCTGACATTATATTCCAAGCTTCTCTGCAAAGTATACTTGACAAACATAGTCACAGATGCCATTTTATTTTAAAGATATACCTTCTGAGATTTTTTGGAGTCGTGACAACATCTGGGCCAATTTTTGCTGCCGTTCGGCCAACTCCCCACGGCCACTGAAATCCACTCGAAAAAGTGCCATTATTGAATCGATAATCTACACAGGATTAATGTAAAAATAAACATGCATTTGGAAATTGAAGGAAGACGTTATTTGAATAGAGATCAATAGAAGAAAAATATTATGCTAAATAGCTCTGTGAAAGCAATATTTAAAAGCTTGTACCAATAGCTTGAAGATGCCAGCTTCTTCATGGAACTTTGCTGCTACATAATCAAGTAGCTCCATCTGATGTTCACCTGATGGGAAATGCAGTGAGAAAATGTTATAAAAGTTGAAAGAAGCAGAGGCTAAGATCATTCATATTCTTGGGAGCCAGGCAAAATAAATTCCTTGAAGGATTTTCTTAATTATTGATGACTTTATTAAATATTATTGCAGCAGGGCATGGTGGCTCATGCCTATAATCCCAACACTTTGGGAGGCCGAGGCAGGTGGATCACTTGGGGTCAGGAGTTCAAGACCAGCCTTGCCAACATGGTGAAACCCTGACTCTACTAAAAAATACAAAAATTAGCTGGGTGTGGTGGCGTGTGCCTGTAATCCCAGCGACTTGGGAGGCTGAGGTAGGAGAATCACTTGAAGCCAGGAGTTGGAGGTTGCAGTGAGCCGAGATCATACCACTGCACTCCAGCCTGAGTGACAGAGCGAGACTCCATCTCAAAAAAAAAAAAAAATTATTGCATATTCTGCCTTAGCATGTATACCAAATGCTACATTATCCAAAAAGAATGTTACTCTTAATTTCAAAGACAAAGAATAATAAATAATTTGAGGGCACTTTATTATCTAAGGACTTACCAGATGATAAAATTTATAGACTGAGTAAATTAATTTAGAGAAAAATAAAATAGAAAAAAAGTATCAAAATGTTGTATCCCTCAAGTAGTAAATCAGTGCTGCCAACCTTACATTGACCCAAGCATCCAACTGCATGGGGCTCTTACTAGTATATGCACGTGCATAAAGTACGTTGTCCAGTACTGCATCATGGTCTACATTAAAGCGATCAGCAATGTCCCTAAGGCGATCTGGACGGCTGGAGTATGCCAAGATTAAGGATCCAATAAGTCAATTCTAAAAAAGTTTAGACAACCACTACAAAACATAATATCTTCCGTAAATTAACAGAGAAGCCAAACAATGTACCTGTGAAGGTATTCTAGAGGATGCTAGCAACCATTTAAAGTCTATACAAGATTTGTTTATTCATAAGTGCCTCAACTTACCATAGGTAGTGATAATGGTCATAGAAATGTGAGGCAGTAATGACTTTAACTATTAAATTATCAAAACTTTACAATAACCTTGGAAGCTAGTTTTTATGGCCTGTTTTACATTTTACAACGTAAGACACTGGCAAACAGAGATTAGGCAAATGACTTGAGCTTATGCAGCAAATCAGTTACAAGAGAAAAACTAGGAACTAAGCTTTGTGAGTCCTTTTGTTCTCAGATCTATAAAAATAGACCTGTAATAGATAATATCACTGAATTATAATTCAATAACTGCAAAGTGAATTAATTCACTCTCTTCATACCCCTCATTCCTCAATATGAAATAGTTTATTATATTATTAATCACATGTTGTTAAATGATAAATTTGACTACATGAACCAAAGGGTCAAAAAGGTAACTTCAAGGGCCCAGAAGAGAAATATCGACCAAAGGTTTTTTGTTGGCATAGGTTTTCTTTTTCTTTTCAAATCTTACCTGGAAAGTATATACAGTTTAAAATCTACTTTCTTCTAAAGGAGTTGTTAGCTTTTTTTTTGTTTTCTCCTCCTTCAGTCTCCTGAGTAGCTGTGATTACAGGCGCGAGCCATCATACCTAGCTAATTTTTGTATTTTTAGTGGAGACGGGGTTTCACCATGTTGGCCAGGCTGGTTTCAAACTACTGACCTCAAGTGATATGCCTGCCTCGGCCTCCCAAAGTGATAGGATTACAGGCATGAGCCACCATGCCTAGCCAGGAGTTGTTAGCTTTCTGAAATTAGCAAATTCATAGGGAAGCAAACTAAGTGCACCTGCAAAAGTATTCTGGAAGAAGCTAATAATCACTTATACCTATAAACTATAAAGGAGTAATAAACATTTTTTTTAGGTCTTTGGTGATCCCAACAATATGTCTGAAGTAAAATGAGGTAAAATTAAATGCATGTTTGTAACCTTATTTCACTTTGTTTATAGTGTTTACATAACACTGATCCCAGTATAAGTAACTGTAAATCAAGGACCATTTATAATCTTATTTGTGATGTTTGCAATTAATTTAAATTCCCAGCCATTTATATCCTAATGCACTAGATATGTTCTTGTTGTTAGAGCTTTGGTGACAGCCACAAAAATCTTCCATTGTTATTGAGTATACCCAGTAGATGTTTTTGGTGGACAAGTTAGACAGGGAATTGGAAGAGGCAATAAAAACATTTTCATCATGTCGGTTTCTACAAATCCCAGATACTATGTTGTGGCAGGCCAGGTCTTACTAATGCAGGCCTCCATAACAACTGTTTCAGCACTGACTGAGTGGTTAAGTTAAATATTAAAAGCTGAAAGTGCCCTTATACAAAGGCTGGAATGTAACAAAAGGCCACCAAGAGTTTTGCCCAGGCCTTTCCTGGGCCTTGAAGCATGACAAGATAATGAAGAAATTCTTAACAGTACCTGTTTAGGATTAAACGAGTTTTACTGGGGGCCTGAAGAAACTCCCTAGGTCTCCACAAACAAGTTATTGGGGGTCTGAAGGAACTCCCCAAACCTCCATGATTTAGCAGGAGATAAGATAAGGGTAATCACCCCAGCACCTGGACCCATTTAGATTAAGTAAATTTACTGAGGCTCCAGAGGAATGTCTTTAGGACTCAGATCTTAGTTATAGATCAAAAGAAGTTAATCACTTATATATTTTTAAAAATTTTTATTTTATTTTTTTGAGATGGAGTCTCACTCTGTTGCTCAGGCTGGAGTCCAGTGGCACAATCTCGGCTCACTGCAACCTCTGCCTCCCTGGTTCAAGTGATTCTCTTGCCTGAGCATCCTGAGTAGCTGGGACTACAGGCGTGTGCCACCATGCCCAGCTAATTTTTGTATTTTTAGTAGAGACAAGGTTTCGCCATGTTGGCCAGGATGGTCTTGAACTCCTGACTTCAAGTGTTCCACCCACCTCGGCCTCTCAAAGTGACTTATGTCGTTAGATGAATGCACACTTACAATAAACATATAGCTGAGAAGGTATATAAGTTCTGGAAGACTTTGTAATTTTGAGTTGGTCTGGTGTTATTTTCCAGGTCTTCTCCCTGTAACCGGTTACGGAAACAAAAACTCCCTCCTTTCCCAGTTCATTTGCATCTCATTATTGGGCCATAAGAATAAGCAGCCTGATCCTCAGTTTGGTCTGGGAACAATGTGACCGCGGGTGTAAAACTTGGGCTTAAATCCTCAACAAAATACTAGCAAACCAAATTCAACAATACATTAAACAGATCATTCATCATGACCAAGTAGGATTCGTCTCAGGGATGCAAGGATGGTTCAACATATACAAATCAATGTGATATATCAACAGAACGGACAAAAAACATATGATCATTTCAATTGATGCTGAAAAAAGCATTTGATAAAATTCAACGTTCATTTATGATAAAAAAAAAACCCTCAAAAAATTGGGTATAGAAGGAACATAACCCAACATAAAAACCATACACAACAGACCCACAGCTAGTATCATACTAGATGGGGAAAAACTGAAAGTCTTTCCTCTAAGATCTGGAACAAGTATGCCCACTTTCACCACTGTTATTCAACATAATTCTCAAAGTCCTAGCTAGAGCAATCAGACAAGAGAAATAAATAAAGGTCATCCAGATTGAAAAGGAGGAAGTCAAATTATCCTTGTTTGCTGATAATAAGATCTTATGTTTGGAAAAACCCAGACTCCACCAAAAAGCTATTAGAACTGATAAACAAATTCAGTAAAGTTGCAGGATACAAAATCAACATACAAAAATCAGCAGCATTTCTAAATACCGACAGGGAACAATCTGAAAAAGAAATTCAAAAATTAATCCCATTTACAATAGCTACAAATAAAATTAAAGACCTAGAAATTAACTTAACCAAAGAAGTGAAGGATCTCTACAATGAAAACTATAAAACATTGATGAAATACATTGAAGAGGACACACAAAAAACAGAAAGATATTGCATGTTCATGAGTTGGAAGAATCAGTACTGTTAAAATGTCCATACTAAACACAGCAATCTACAGAATCAATGCAATTCCTATCAAAATACCAATGACATTCTTCAGAGAAATAGAAAAACAACCCTAAAATTTATATGGAACCACAAAAGACCCAGAATAGCCAAAGCTATCTTGAGCAAAAAGAACGAAACTAAAGGAACCACATAACCTGACTTCAAATTATACTATAGAGCTATAGTATCCAAAACAGCACGGTATGGGCATAAAAACAGATGCATAGACCAATGGAACAGAATATAAAACTCAGAAACAAATCCACACACCTACAGTGAACTCATTTTCGACAAAGGTGCCAATAACATACATTGGAGAAAGGACGGTCTCTTCAGTAAATGGTGCTGGGAAAATGGGATATCCATAAGCAGAAGAATGAAATTAGACCCCTATCTCTCACCATATACAAAAATCAAATAAAAATGGATTAAAGACTTAAATCTAAGACCTCAAACTATGAAACTACTAAAAGGAAGCATTGGGGAAACTCTGTAGAACACTGGACTGGGTAAAGATTTCTTGAGTAATACCACACAAGCACAGTCAACTGTAGGATATAATAAATTCCTCTTCAAAGGTTTTAGCCTGTAAATTGTTTTTTTTTTTTTTTTTGAGACGGAGTCTCGCTCTGTCACCCAGGCTGGAGTGCAATGGCATGATCTCGGCTCACTGCAAGCTCCACCTCCCAGGTTCACGCCATTCTCCTGCCTCAGCCACCTGAGTAGCTGCGACTACAGGTGCCCGCCACCATGCCCGGCTAATTTTTTGTATTTTTAGTAGAGATGGGGTTTCACCATGTTAGCCAGGATGGTCTTGATCTCCTGACCTCGTGATCCACCCACCTCGGCCTCCCAAAGTGCTGGGATTACAGGTGTGAGCCATAGTGCCCAGCTGCCTGTAAATTGTTAAGTACAATGAGTTTTGAGATCCTCTCCAAGGAACCAATGTATCAGTATGTTCAGCTCCCCTGTTCTTTGTTCTCCATTTTAAAGGTTAACTTCCTCCTTCTTCTTGCTTTCTTGCCCCTAGTTTCAGTAAACAACCTTTTCCATCAGTTCTAATCAGTAGTTTACATCTGTTCCCCTGGTCATCTACTCCATGCTGAGTCTCCCCTGGTCAATTGCTCTGTCCTAAGTCACCCCTGGTCACCTGCTCTGACCTGAGTCACCTTTAGTCACCTGTTCCTAACCATCCTTCCTGCCAAACTACTCACTCCACCACTCCGACTCATAACCCTGCTCTCTTTAAAATAGCCAGTCGGAATTAGCTTAGACTGTGCAGTCCAACCCTAGCCAATAGGGGAATGACACAGCAGTAGGGGCTACTTGAGTCAGGAATAAAACCCCCTTCCCCTCCCTTGTTCAGATGTGCTCTCGCCATTGCTCCATCAGTGAGTCACACCCTTTTATAGAAGTAAAATTGCCTTGCTGAGAAAATATTTGCAAACTATCCATCTGACAAGGGATTAATAACCAGAATATATAAAAAGTTCAAACTACTCTATAGGAAAAAAATCTAATAATCTTATTTAAAAATGGGCAAAATATCTGAAAAGACATTTCTCAAAAGAAGTGTGAAAGGAAAATATCTTGGGCCTCCAAAATCACTAAGGAAAACTCAAACTGGAAACTGCTTATGGCAAACCTGCCTTTCATTCTATTCAAAGTCACTCCTCTGCTCACTGAGATAGATGCATATCTGATTGCCTCCTTTGGAAAGGATAATCAGAAACTCAAAAGAATGCAACCATTTGTGTCTCACCTATCTGTGACCTGGAAGCCCACTCCTTGCTTTGCTTAGTCTTCCTGTCTTTGCTTCAGGTTGTCCCGCCTTTCCAGACTGGACCAATGTTCTTCTTACATATACTGATAGATGTCTCATGTCTCCCAAAATGTGTAGAACCAAGCTGTGCCCCAACCACCTTGGGCACACGTCGTCAGGACTTCCTGAGGCTGTGTCACGGGCGTATCCCCAATCTTGGCAAAATAAACTTTCTTTTTTTTTTTTTTGAGACAGAGTCTTGCTCTGTCCCCAGGCTGGAGTGCAGTGGCGCGATCTCAGCTCACTGCAACCTCCACCTCCTGGAATCAAGCAATTCCCCTGCCTCAGCCTCCTGAGTAGCTGGGACTACAGGCACGTGCCACCATGCCCGGCTAATTTTTTTTTTTTTTGTATTTTAGTAGAGACGGGGTTTCACCATGTTGGCCAGGATGGTCTCAATCTCCTGACCTTGTGATCTGCCCACCTTGGCCTCCCAAAGTGCTGGGATTACAGGCATGAGCCACTGCGCCCGGCAGCAAAATAAACTCTCTAAACTAACTCAGACCTGTCTCAGATTCTCTGGGTTCACAGAAGACATACAAATGGCAAATAGCTATATGAAAAGGTGCTCAATGTCACTGATCATCAGAGAAATGCAAATCAAAACTACAATGAAATATCATCTCACCCCAGTTAATATGGCTTTTATACAAAAGACAGGGAATAACAAAACCAGGCATGGTGGCTTATATCTGTAATCCCAGCACTTTGGGAGGCCCAGGTGGGAGGATCACTAGAGCTCAGGAGTTGGAGACCAGCCTGGGCAACATGGTGAGACCCTATCTCTACCAAAAAAATACAAAAATTAGCTGGGCATGGTGGCACGCACCTGTAGTCCCAGTTACTTGAGAAGCTGAGGTGGGAGGATCACTTGAGTCCTGGATGTTGAGGCAGCAGTGATCCATGATCACGTCATTGCACTCCAGCCTAGGCGACAGAGCGAGACCCTGTCCCAAAAACAAAACAAAACAATTTTTTTTTTTTGAGATGGAGTCTCGCTCTGTCGCCCAGGCCGGACTGCAGTGGCGCTATCTCGGCTCACTGCAAGCTCCGCCTCGCGGGTTCACACCATCTCCTGCCTCAGCCTCCCGAGTAGCTGGGACTACAGGTGCCCACCACTGCGCCTGGCTAATTTTTTGTATTTTTAGTAGAGACAGGGTTTCACCGTGTTAGCCAGGTTGGTCTCGATTTCCTGACCTCGTGATCCGCCCGCGTCGGCCTCCCAAAGTGCTAGGATTACAGGTGTGAGCCACAGCGGCCAGCCAAAACAATTTAAAATGAAAAAACTTGGGCTTATGCTGAAGGGAAGTTCAGATCAATTATAAATATTTATTAACCAATTACCATATGGAATTAATTACCATATTAATCAATTACCAAGGCAAAGCATTATGGAGGATATAAGGAGTCCTAAGACAACCTATGCCCTAGGTAAATTTAAAACATAATTAAGGAGGCAAAATATAAACATATAAAAAGAAAACTATCAAGAGACAGCAGTATAAGTATGAGACACGGAAAGAATGAGAACACTCCAATGTGGCCCTTGCCACAGTGCCCTGCACCCCCACCCAGCTGTTCTTCTCCACTCTCTCTTGCATATGACTTAGCTCCTAAGTATTCCTATTGTTCTTAGTAAAATCCAAATTGCAGGCCGGGCATCGTGGCTCACGCCTGTAATCCCAGCACTTTGGGAGGCCAAGGTGGGTGGATCACCTGAGGTCGGGAGTTCGAGACCAGCCCGACCAACATGGAGAAACCCTGTCTCTACTAAAAATACAAAATTAGCCGGGTGTGGTGGCATGCACCTGTAATCGCAGCTACTCGGGAGGCTGAGGAGGAGAATCGCTTGAACCTGGGAGATGGAGGTTGTAGTGAGCCGAGATCGCACCATTGCACTCCAGCCTGGGCAACAAGAGTGAAACTCCATCTCGAAAAAAAAAAACTCCAAATTGCCCAAACAGTGGCTGCTACTCTGCAAGAACAATTCTTCCCTCTCTGAGATAAGAATCATCCTTAATCAATTGTTTCTGAAACCAGCTGAACTCCAGCTGAGCACCCTTGTTAAAGCCCTGTACGACATTTCACCCTCCTTCCCCAAGTTAAAAGGCTCTTTCAGAGACTTCTTATGCCTGGCATTTCTGAAAAGGGACTTCTGCAAACAGTTCTCTGTTTTGTTTTCTAAGTGAGTATTTTAGATAGTAAATTCTATAATAGGTCAAGAAGGACAAGATTTTCTAAATTGAGTAATTAGGGAAGATTAGAAAAAGCAGGCCTTGAAATGAGAGCCTTAAATGATTTGTATGATTCAGAAAGACTGTGAGATGGGGATGGAAGGAGCAAATACCCAAGAAGATAGAAATATACCATGCAAAGTTCTCTGTGACCAGACAAATTAACAGCCAAGAGTGAGAGCAAAATAAAGGCACTTTCAGACATACTAAGGTTCAAAGTTTACCACCTGTATTACATTTCTGAAAGAAATAAGTATTACAGCAAAACAAAAATACAGGAAAAAATAACATCTGGGATGCAAGAAACCATAATGAACAAAGAAAACAAAAATCTTTATAGTTAAATCTAAATAACTGCTGATGTACAATGTTTTTAGATTTTTTTTCTTTTGGTAGAGACAGAGTCTTGCTATGTTGCCCAGGCTAATCATGAACTCCTGGCCTCAAATAAGCCTCCTGCCTCAGCCTTCCAAGTAGCTGGGATTTATAGCAACCACACCTGGCTAATTTAAAATTTATTTCGTAGAGACACTATGTTGCCCAGGCTGGTCTTGAACTCCTGGCCTCAAGTGATCTTCCTGCCTTGGCCTCCCAAAGTGCTGGGATCACTGGAGTGAGACTAGACATATGTGCAAATTTTGATAACAAAGTATGTTTACAGGCAATGGGATGGACTAAAACAGATTCATCTCTTTGCCTCTAATAGTGGCAATGGTGAGTACTGAGCTTGGAGAGGCAGGCTGGGGCTTCACTGTGAACAGCCTTACAAATGTGCATAGGTCTTCTTTGTTATTAAAAAGAATTTCCTCTGAATACCTCCTCAAACTAGTATATTTTTTCTTCCTATTTGTTTTTGTTTTTTTTTTTGAGACGGAGTTTCCCTCTTGTTGCCCAGGCTGGAGTGCAATGGCACGATCTCGGCTCACCGCAACCTCCGCCTCCCAGTTCAAGCGATTCTCCTGCCTAAGCCTCCTGAGTAGCTGGAAATACAGGCATGTGCCGCCACGCCCGGCTAATTTTGTATTTTTAGTAGAGACAGGGTTTCTCCATGTTGGTCAGGCTGGTCTCGAACTCCTGACCTCAGGTAATCCACCCGCCTCAGCCTCCCAAAGTGCTGGGATTACAGGCGTGAGCCACGGTGCCTAGCCTTCTTCCTTTCATTGGTCAATTTCATACTGCCTCCCTCCCTTGTTGTTTGTTTACATAAAGCTTCTATCACCTCACCCTATGGCAAATGTTCGCTTGAACTCCTAATTTTGAACTTATAATGATCTTTCTCAGGCTGTATCCTCAAAATCCGTGTGTGTGTAACATTGCTGACAACTCATCGTCTTGAAACTTTCCTTTTGCTTGACTTTTACAACCAGATTTCCTTCTACTTCCTCTGTCTCTGGGTTTCTCATTTTAGTCCTCTTCCTAAATATAAACATACCTCAAAGTTATGTTCTCAATTCTCCTCTCTTCTCTCTCTATAAGTTCTCTTTCCCCCTTGGTTAATTCGTCCATATTTCTGGGCCTACCCCTTTCTCAAGCTGAATTCAATATTTCCCAGTGCCATCTGGATATCCTCATGTACATCATATTCAATACATTAAAATGATGGCTGGGTGCAATGGCTCATGCCTGTAATCCCAGTCCTTTGGGAGGCCAAGGCAGGCAGATCGCTTGAGCCCAGGAGTTGGAGATCAGCCTGGGCAACGTGGTGAAACCTGGTCTCTACAAAAGATAAAAAAAATTAGCCAGGCGTGGTGGTATGTGCCTGTAGTTCCAGCTACTCAGAAGGCTGAAGTGGGAGGATCACTTGACCCTGGGAGTTCGAGTCTGCAGTGAGTGTAATTGGGCCACTGCACTCCAGCCTGGGCAACAGAGCAAGAACCTGTCTCAAAAGAAGAAAAAAATTAGGCCAGGCGTGATGGCTCACGCCTATAATTCCAACACTTTGGGAGGCTGAGGTGGGTGGATCACTTGAGGTCAGGAGTTCAAAACCAGCCTGGCCAACATGGCGAAACCCCATCTGTATTAAAAATACAAAAATTAGCCAGGTGTGGTGGTGTACATTTGTAAACTTAGCTACTTGGGAAGCTGAGGTTGCAGTGAGTTGAGACTGCACCACTGCATTCCAGCCTGGGTGATGGAGAAAGACACTGTCTCAAAAAAAAAAAAGTAAAATTAGTACATTAAAATGAAACATCACCTTTTCTCTTTTTCTCTGAAGCATGATCTTTCCAGTTCTATTGTTAGCATCACATAACTATTCTCCTAGTATCTAGACAAAAAACCTGAGCGGTTTCTCAAACCTGTCTTTCCTTTGTCTACCAAATATAGCCATCAAGTCCTATCAATTTTCCTAATACTTCTTTTCCTTTTCTTTTTATTCTTACCAGTTCCAACCTAGATCAAGTTCTCATTACTTGCCTAGAATATTGCTAAAGTATCCAGTTTACACCCACTATCTTGTTTCAAAGCCTTTCATGTCTAAGATCCCAATCATCTTTCTAGCCCATATCCTGGAATACCTTACACTTTAATTAAACTGCAATTCGTTGTGTTACCCAAACAGGTTCTGCCTGTTTTCCTTATTAACTTTCACCCTCTTCATACCGTTCCCTTCATTTGGGACCATGACTTTCAGTGAGTCAATAATCTTTCAGCCAGGCGCAGTCGCTCACCCCTGTAATCCTAGCACTGTGGGAGGCTGAGGCAGGTGGATCACCTGAGGTCAGGAGTTCCAGAACAGCCTGGTCAACATGTCAAAACCCTGTCTCTACTAAAAATACAAAAAAATTAGCCAGGTGTGGTGGCACACACCTGTAATCCCAGCTACTCGGTAGGCTGAGGCAGGAGAATTGATTGAACCCAAGAGATGGAGGTTGCAGTGAGCCGAGATTGCCCCACTGGACTCCAGCCTGGGCAACAGGGAGATTCCGTCTCAAAAAAAAAAAAATCTTTTTTCTAACTATTAAGCAACATCTTTAGAGAAGTAAGAGGATTAAAAATGATGATATAATTTCCTCTCATGTATTTGTTTTGTCTCATAAACCCATATGAAGAAGTGAAACCTCATTAAATACAAAGTGATTGGAGAACTTAAACAGTAATTGTTTTCCCTTTGGTTTGTCTCATTACTACTGGTTTATGGAATGACTACAAAGATTGTATATCTCAGACAAACTCTTCAGTGGTAACATTCCTATATCACACTATTATGTTAGCAACTTTAAATAAAAAGGTTACAAAGTATTTTCTGTATCAATGAAGATAATCTTTCCTCCTGGGTAGCCACCAGCTCCTGGAAGTTGAGCTGTCACTAGGAAGCAATTAAAAATTTATATTAATAGGAGTGAATAAACTTTGTACACATGACTATATAAATACACATGGAATCTGCTGTTGCAACTCTTTAGTACATTTTGCAAAGAGTCATGATCCTTTCGTTTCTAAACAACATGTTATATTTTCATATTACTTAACCAGTGTGAAATTATAAGTATTCTGCCAGCATAGTTGTTATTCAACAAATAATTTCACTATCTTTCACAATGGAAGATATTCGTGAAAGTTAGTTCTCCCAAAGAATGGAAATAAAATTTAAATATTACTAATTTTCTTTCTTTTTCTTTTCTTTTCTTTTTTTTTTTTTTTTGAGACGAGTCTAGCTCTGTCGTCAGGTTGGAGTGCAGTGGCGCAATCTCAGCTCACTGCAATCTCCGCCTCCCGGGTTCAAGCAATTCTTCTGCCTCAGCCTCCCAAGTAGCTGGGACTACAGGCAGGCACTGCCACACCCAGCTAATTTTTATACTTTTAGTAGAGATGGGGTTTCACCATGTTGGCCAGGATGGTCTTGATCTCCTGACCTCGTGATCTGCCCACCTCGGCCTCCCAAAGTGCTGGGATTACAGGCTTGAGCCACCGCGCCCAACCTACTAACTTTCTTTCTACAAGAAATAGTCACAAATATGGCCGGGCATGGTGGCTCATGCCTGTAATCCCAGCACTTTGGGAGGCCAAGGTGGGTGGATCATTTGAGGTCAAGGGTTCAAGACCAGCATGACCAACATGGTAAAACCCTGTCTCTACTAAAAATACAAAAATTAGCTGGGTGTGGTGGTGCATGCCTGTAATCCCAGCTACTCTGGAGGCTGAGGCAGGAGAATTGCTTGAACCTGGGAGGCGGAGGTTGCAGTGAGCTGAGATCGTGCCACTGCAGTCCAGCCTGGGTGATAGATCAAGACTCCATCTCAAAAAAAAAAAAAAAAAAAGAAAGAAAGAAAGAAAGAAAGAAAAAAGAAAAAAAAGAAAGAAATAGTCACAAATAGGCCGAGTGGGCGGATCATGAGGTCAGGAGTTTGAGACCAGCCTCATCAACATGGTGAAACCCCATCTCTACTGAAAATACAAAAAACAAAAATTAGCCGGGCATGGTCGTGAGTGCCTGTAATCCCAGCTACTCAGGAGACTGAGGCAGGAGAATCGCTTGAACCTGGGAGGCGGAGGTTGCAGTGAGCTGAGATCGCGCCACTGCACTCTAACCTGGGTGACACAGCGAGACTCCGTCTCAAAAAAAAAAAGTCACAAATATAATTTATGCTATATAACTAATATGTTACCTTTAAATTAATGTATGTCAAATTTTAAAAATGCATTTACTTTTTTTTTCGAGACAGGTCTCACTTTGTCGCCCAGGCTGGAGTACAGTGGCACGATCTCGGCCCACGGCAACCTCTGCCTCCCGGGTTCAAGTGATTCTCTGACCTCAGCCTCCCCAGTAGCTGGGATTACAGGCATGTTCAACCAGGCCCAGCTAACTTTTGTATTTTTTAGTAGAGACAGGGTTTCACCATGTTTACCAGGCTGGTCTCAAACTCCTGACTTCAGGAGATCCTCCTGCCTTGGCCTCCCAAAGTGCTGGGATTACAGGTGTGAGCCACCACGCTAGACTGCAATTACTTTTTATGTAGTAGTAGTTAACACTAAGGAGCTACTTTATACCAGGTACATACATTATTTCATTTACTTTTCAAAACAATCCTAACATTTGGCACTGTCATTATTTCAATTTTATTGGTGGGGGAAATTAGAGAAGTAGAGCAACTTGCCCAAGGTCACACAGCTACTAACGATAGAACCAGGATTGAAGTCCGGCATTTTGATTCCAGAACTCCTTTCTTTTTTTTTTTTTTTTTTTTTTTGAGACGAGTCTTGCTCTGTTGCCCAGGCTGGAGTGCAGTGGCGCGATATCGGCTCACTGCAAGCTCCGCCTCCCGGGTTCACGCCATTCTCCTGCCTCAGCCTCCCCAGCAGCTGGGACTACAGGCGCCCGCCACCATGCCCGGCTAATTTTTTTGTATTTTTAGTAGAGACCGGGTTTCACCGTGTTAGCCAGGATGGTCTGGATCTCCTGACCTTGTGATCCGCCCGCCTCGGCCTCCCAAAGTGCTGGGATTACAGGCGTGAGCCACCGGGCCCGGCCAGAACTCCTTTCTTAACCACTTTGCCAAGTTCCTTCTCCATAGCTCAAAGAAATGCACAGTAGTGTATTTGTGGAAAAGGAGATATCTTTCGTTATTTTGTTTAAAACAATTTTGTTTTTAAGTCTCTCTTAGGGCCAATTTTATGCCATGGAAAGTGAAAGATTCTAGGACTCAATAGATTTTGTGTCACTCTTCTAAAAAAGATATAGAAAAGATGGAATGGGAAAAACTGAGACAGTGGACTCCTCACCAACACATTCATACACCCATTCAACTTCTCTCTATTTCTACTCAGGTGTTCATAGTGCAGCACATACATCACCTCAAGGATCACACATTCAAAGACCAGCTGTATAACCACGGGCAGTTTACTTAATCTGCCTGTGTTTTAGTTTCCTTGCAAGTATGTTCAGATATGAGATTATTTAGAGTATCAGGCACATAGTAGATGTTTGATAAGTAATAGCCATGATTATTATTGTTATTGTTGTTATATATCCTTACCACAGAGGGTATGAGAAAGCTGGGTTTTTCCAGTACGAAATTCTGTGAAATACAGAAAAAAATGATTTTAAAAATGCATAATTTCCAGATATTTTCATAAAGAATAAAACATGGCTTTAGAATATTACTGTTTTCTTTTTCTTTTCCAACTGGCAAATCTTACTTATAAAGTATCTCGGATGTTATTTTTTATTTTTTTTTTGAGACAGAGTCTTGCTCTCACTCAGGCTGGAGTGCAGTGGCACGATCTCAGCTCACTGCAACCTTCACCTCCCGGGTTCAAGCGATTCTCCTGACTCAGCCTCCTGAGTAGCTGGGATTACAGGTGCCTGCCACCACGCCCGGCTAGTTTTTGTATTTTAAGTAGAGATGGGGTTTCACCATATTGGCCAGGCTGGTCTCAAACTCCTGAACTCAGGTGATCCGCCCACCTCAGCCTCCCAAAGTGCTGGGATTACAGGTGTGAGCCACCACGCCCGGCCTTATTTGTTTAATATAAATTAATTTAAATCAAGTTTTCCTTAGTAACAGTCATATAAATGAAAGTTTAAGGCCGGGCGCGGTGGCTTATGCCTGTAATCCCAGCACTTTGGGAGGCTGAGGCGGGTGGATCACAAGGTCAGGGGATTGAGACCATCCTGGCTAACACTGTGTAACCCCATCTCTACTAAAAATACAAAAAATTAGCTGGGTGTGGTGGTGGGCGCCTGTAGTCCCAGCTACTCGGGAGGCTGAGGCAGCAGAATGGTGTGAACTCGGGAGGCGGAGCTTGCAGTGAGCCGAGATCGCGCCACTGCACTCCAGCCTGGGTGACAGAGCGAGACTCCGTCTCAAAAAAAAAAAAAAAAAAAGAAAGTTTAAGACCCTACCACCTGGGGTAAAGTGCGGTGACTCACACCTGTAATCCCAGCACTTTGGGAGGATGAGATGAATGGATCACTTGAGGTCAGGAGTTCGAGACCAGCCTGGCAAACATGGTGAAACCCCATCTCTACCAAAAATACAACAATTAGCTGGGCATGGTGGCTCATGCCTGTAATCCTAGCACTTTGGGAGGCCGAGGCGGGCAGGCTGCATGAGCTCAGGAGTTCGAGACCAGCCTGGGCAACATGGTGAAATGCCATCTCTACTAAAAAATAAAAAATTAGCTGGGTGTGGTGGCGTGCACCTATAGTCCCAGCTACTTGGGAGGCTGAGGCAGAATTGCTTGAACCTGGGAGGCAGAAGTTGCAGTGAGCCAAGATCAGGCCACTGCACTCCAGCCTGGGCAACAGAGCGAGACTCCATCTCCAAAAAAAAAAAAAAAAAAAAAAAAAATCAGCCAGGCGTGGTGGCAGTTGCCTGTAATCCCAGCTACACAGGAAGCTGAGGCAGAATTGCTTGAACCTAGGAGGCAGAGGTTGCAGTGAGCCGAGATGGCACCACTGCACTGCAGCCTGGGAGACAGAGCAAGACTCCATCTCTAAATAAATAAATAAATAAATGAAAATAAAATAAAGACCCCACCACAGGAAAGAAAGCCTGGGGTTCCCCTACTGAACTGAGGTCCTTAAAGGGGAGCTGAAGTAGTCTTAAACTGGTGCCATCCCCTAGCTACCAGCAAAAGCAAATTCGTTCTGGAGGAAAACTTTCCTACCTACCAATCCAGGTCCATTGAACTTTCATAGATTAAAATCAAACAATAAGCTCAGAAACACCAATAAATACAGAAGAAGGTAAGCCACTAAGACTGAGTCAACAGAAATAATGAAAACCAGATTTAGTGCCCAAGTCAACAGAAAAAAAAAAAAAAAAAACAGATTTAGTTCTCCAAGGACAGCAAATACTGGAATTCCCAGATGTGATACACAGTGTAGCTATGCATGAATTGCTTTTTAAAAATAGAGGATAGGACGGGTGCAGTGGCTCATGCCTGTAATCCCAATACTTTGGGAGGTCAAAGTGGGAGGATTGCTTGAGTCCAGGAGTTCGAGACCATCTTGGGCAACATAGCGAGACCCTTTATCTATTATTTAAAAAAAAAAATAGAGGATATAATCAGGGAAGAGGGAATCTAGTCTCTATGTTCATGGAACATTAATTGCCTAGAAATAAAATCAGCCTCATTATTCAATTACCTTTTGAACAAATAAGTGAAAAAAAATCTATTATCAGCTGGGCGCAGTGGCTCACGCCTGTAATCCCAGCACTTTGGAAGGCCGAGGTCAGGAGATCAAGACCATCCTGGCTAACATGGTGAAACCCCGTCTCCACTAAAAATACAAAAAAATTAGCTGGGAGTGGTGGCAGGCGCCTGTAGTCCCAGCTACTCGGGAGGCTGAGGCAGGAGAATGGCGTGAACCCGGGAGGCAGAGCTTGCAGGAAGCCGAGATTGCGCCACTGCACTCCAGCCTGGACCTGGGTGACACAGCGAGACTCCGTCTCAAAAAAAAAAAAAAAAATCTATTATCTTCTATAGGAATCACAAATAAAAGATGAAAAGTGTTGATAAGACCCATCTGTTAATGTTCATATATATTTTCGTTGCAGTACAGAATGATCTCATGTTATGATAATTGAGATTTTGTAAGTTCCAAAATACTTACAATTTATTATTGGTTGTTTATTTAATTATATGTGTATGTATACACATAGATGTGTATGTGTGTGTGTATAATATTTCATTTAACAAAATATTAAGGTTCTACCTACCTCCAAAAGCTTCTGTAATTGCCATACTTTCAATTCCACCTCCTAGTAACTTACTGGAAATAGAAAGAAAGCATTAGTAACAGGAATAGAAATAGAAATATTAAGAGAGGA
The DNA here is from genome assembly GCF_000001405.40 of Homo sapiens. Taxonomy (NCBI): domain Eukaryota; kingdom Metazoa; phylum Chordata; class Mammalia; order Primates; family Hominidae; genus Homo; species Homo sapiens. The sequence continues at coordinate 38,555,468 of NC_000022.11, forward strand.
GAAAGTATTCATATCATTAGTATCCTTCCTATCTATGTATCTATCTATCTATTCTATCATCTACCTATCTATCTACAGAACATGAACAGCAATTCTTGGCTGAACAAATAGCATGCCACTTGCTAGATCACAGGTTCTATTGTGTATGGGCAAGTGGATCAGCAAAACAAATGATAAGCCCTATCGTTCTTACTTCAATAGTAAATGGAACCTGGGAATACTGCATGCTGTAGGCTTAAAAAATAATAATAATAAATTATTTTAAGAAAAAACTTAAAAAAATAGTAAATGGGTTAGCAAGGCCTTATGTCTTACTAGTCTTTAGAATTGAATTGGAGTTACAGATCGTCTTAATTATTATTATTATTATTTTTTTTTTTTCGAGATGGAGTCTTGCTCTGTCGCCCAGGCTGGAATGCAGTGGCGTGATCTTGGCTCACTGCAGCCTCCGCCTACCAGGTTCAAGAGATTCTCCTGCCTCAGCCTCACGAGTAGCTGGGATTACAGGTGCCTGCCACCACGCCAGGCTAATTTTTGTATTTTTAGTAGAAATGGGGTTTCACCATATTGGCCAGGTTGGTCTCGAACTCCTGACCTCAGGTGATCCGCCTGCCTTGGCTTCCCAAAGTGCTGGGATTACAGGCATAAGCCACCATGCCCAGCCCATCTTAGTTATTAATTGGGTATTTAATATTGTGCTGGAACTATGTTTCTATAGTCAATTGAATTTTCAATGTTTTTTCTTTTTCTTTTTTGAGACAGAATCTTGTTCTGTCACCTGACACAGGGCTAATTTTTTATTTTTTGTATGGCTGGGGTCTTGCTATGTTGCCCAGGCTGGTCTCAAACTCCTGAGGCTCAAGAGATCTGCCCACCTTGGCCTTCCAAAGTGCTGGGATTATAGACATGAGCCATCATGCCCGGCTTCAGTTTTTAATATACTGAAAAACATATGAAAAACAGGTATTAGGAAAATCCAGTGATTGTCATTATGGTCAGGTTATCTCACATAAACCAAATATTATGGAGGACATGTCAGAATAGTAAATGTCAAAGATGTTGTAGGTAATGCTAGCAGTTAGAAGAGTAACTGTCAGATTCTGACAGCATACATTTAATTGGTAGCCCAATGTTGTAGTGCATTTAAAGCTCTGAATAAGAAAAGGCCTAAATTTAAGTCATGATCTCATTCATTCATTAAATGCAACACATATTAATTGTGTTAATTGTGCTAAGACCTGGTAGGGGCACTTTAAAAACCTTGTATGTAGTCTATTAACATGATTTTTTGGGATGTGATCACAGGTCAGACAAAAATTTAAGATATATAGATAATCCAATACATTTACATTTACATAGTTTAAGAGAGCAATTTAAATGTAAATTGAAACAATGTTGGAAGTTATCCACAAATTTAGTGAGGGCTGCAGACTTCAATAAGGAAAAGAAAAATCTAGATAGTGTACCTGCACAACTTAAATCTAAAGGACATGGGCTAAGCGATCAACCCATTTGGAGGGAATACACTTGGAAATCTTATAGGCCCAGCAACTATTTTTTTCTTCAACTTTTATTTTAAATTCAGGGGTACATGTGCCAGATATGCAGGTTTGTTACATAGGTAAACGTGTGCCATGGTGGTTGGGCTAGCAACTATTAAAGAAAGCTTTATTTGTCCCTCTTCTTCCTGAGAAAAATTACCCTGGAAAGCTATACCTCTGGAAAATCCCAGACAAAATTCCTGGTTGATATGTAATCTCAATCAGCTGAAAAGGTAACCCCAAAATTTACCTGTGAGGATACCCCAAATTATTTGGGATAGCACAATTGTTTCCTTTTTGAGACTCAGGAAAATTTAGAATTAAGTGTAGAAATAGTGTTTTTAAATATAGGGAGATTTAAAAATAGAGACACAAATCAAACCCATAGATTACTATTTTCATATTAAATTTGGCAATATGGGCATGGTGGCTCATGTCTGTAATCTTAGCACTTTGGGAGGCCGAGGGAGGTGGATCGCTCGAGCCTGGGAGTTCAAGACCAGCCTGGATAACATGGCGAAACCCAGTCTCTACAGAAAATACCAAAATTAGCCAGGTATGCTGGCCTGTGCCTGCAGTCCCATCTACTCAGGCTGCAGTGAGCCGTGATGGAGCCACTGCATTTTAGCCTGGGTGACAGAGTGAGACCGTGTCTCAAAAAATAAAATAGAATATAAATAAATAAATTTGGTAATAACCTGTGCATATTTGCTATTTGAGACCTTTTAACGTTTAAGATAATTTGACCTTTTTGTAATGGATTGGCCTCTGACTGATTAAATGGTACATTCCTTCAATTTTCAAGTTGATAACTAATTTTATAAATAGTATTTGAACATTTAATGGTGCCTACAACTCACTATACTTCTAAATTTATTTGAGTTACAAAAGATATTTAGGTAATTGGGAAGATTTTGCTGTTAATAATTAGATAATTAGACAAAGTTCTTTTTTTTTTTTTTTTTTTTTTTTGAGACGGAGTCTCACTCTGTCGCCCAGGCTGGAATGCAGTGGCGTGATCTTGGCTCACTGCAACCTCT